>NC_000003.12:124160119-124311634 GCF_000001405.40 Homo sapiens
ATATAATTAGTTAAGATGAAGTCATACTAGATTAGGGTGGACCCTAAATCCAATGACGGGTGTTCTTGTAAGAGGAACAGAGGATACACAGAAAAGCAGACCATGTCTTCCATGCCGGCCTGGATGGAGGGGCCCATCAAGCACTCAGGGCAGCCTCAGGATGATGGGAAGCCATGGGCCAAGCCATCCCTGCAATGTGCAGGAGGGAGAAATCACATCAGATGGGATCTCTTGAATGTTCACGTTTTTATGAAGAAGGAATCTGGTTAGAATGATCAGGAATAAAAGAGGTCTGTGCAGAGAGAAGGGTGATGGGGAGTGTACTGTGGTGCTTTTGTGAAAAGTGGATGGGATGTGGGTTTGCTTTTATGTGAGTGAAAAGAGAAGAGAAGGAAAGGAAGTGTGAAATGACCCAATTGGTTTTTTGCAATGAATGATGTGTAAGAAAATGGTCTTTTTTTTTTCTGGGCCATCAGGCAGCTCTGACTATCTGTCAGATGGAGTCACATCAGGCAGAGGGTGGGGTAAGAGACAGCCTGGCCTTTGGAGGATTTCCTTAGGTACCACTCCAACACCTTCTTTCTCCTCCTTGGTGTCGGAGGTGGTGAGGGATAATGGGATGCACACTGGGAGCCTTCTCTGGATCCCTGCATGGTCAGTGCCCTGTCTGAGCAAGTCTGTCCCCTTCTTGGATTCTTGGTCTTCTCCCATGTACAGAAGGCTTACAAAGTTTATGTGAGCATTGAGGAAAAATATTTTGTAAACCTTAAAATGCTGTATAATATTGTATCCTGTAGTTCTCCAAGGACTGAGAAGGAAGATAGGGGGAGTCTTAATCCTTTGGGGTTTGAGGGAGGCTCACATACTGTGTGAAAAGTAATGAAGGTTTCAGTTTGAGATGATGAAGTTCTAGAGATGGCTGGTGGTGATGGTTGCACAACAATGTGAAAATGTGAATGGACTGAATGCCACTGAACTGTACACTTAAACATGGATTAAATGGTCAATAATATATGCTATCTATTTTACCATGATAGAAAAGTCATACCTCCATCCCTCCCCCAAAAAAGTAATGTACATACAGGACAAAGCTGATATGTGAGTAAATTTGCCACTCCAGATATTTACAGAGCAGTTATTAACATTTTGTGGTGAATGCTTGTATTTGCAATCATTGCGAGGAATTAGGACTGGTTACCAGGACTCAACACAATATATTATTGTTAATGCTTTTGGATGGCTCTAGAAATTCTTTTGGGAGGGAGTAAATTATGTCACAATAATGGAAACAGAAGTGAACTATAAGCTGAACTTAATAACATGATCTGAGATCGCTTCTCCCCCTCTACCCCTGCCTTCAAGGTTGTTCTCCTGCCTTAGCACTACTTTTTCTTTGTTTCTCAATTTACTCCTTATCCCAGTAGGTCAAGGTGAAAACAGATTTGCATCTATAGTACAGAAACATGTGAATCTTCTGTGGCCTCCTGTATGTTACTAAAAATGTCTCGTGTTATTATGGACTCTGTCCTGTGGGCCAGACTTTGCTCCCAGAAAGAAGCAAGAACTATTTGCATATCTCCCAGATCATTCATTCTCCAGGCCTGTGGGCATCCACATCAAAGCCTTATAGGATCACCCCCAATTGTCTCCTTCCTCTAGCTCCAAGGTGTTTTTGAAGATCAGAGCCATAAGTATGATTACTGCTTGAGGGTCTCTGCATTTCTGAGGAGTCTCCCATAGGCTGAAGGCCCAGAAAGTAACTCAGAAAGGGGTTGAAAGATAGATACCTTTTGGATTGAGAAATTGTTTTACTTCATCACAAAATAAAGTACTTACAGTTTGGGGTTTAAATACTGGGACTTGTATTGTACCTCCTCTAAATCATCCCAGAAAATGAAGCAGAGAACAATGTTCAATGTAGAACTGCCCATGGTGCCAGATGATTTTGAGTCACATACAGAGCCAGGTACAGCTCTCAAATGTTATGTCTACTTGTGTGACAGGCAGCCAGTTTCCTAAGAGGGGGTTGGGGGCAGGAAAAATTCAGTGCCTTCATTGTGGGCTGCTTCTTGTTGAATTTTGCTCCACAGGTTAGAAGACAGGTCCCAGTCTTCCTAATGAGGCATTGAAAGTCTAGGTGGAATAGATGCTTGCTGGAGCCTGTGGATATTATAAAAGAAAGAGCTCACTGCCTTAATGTGGTCAGGAGAGGCAGGAGTGAGAGCCAGTGTGAAGGTGTGGGAGTTGGAAGGAACTTGGAACTCAACTTCTTTTGGCCCCTCAACTTGAGATTCACAAAGAAAAAAAGCAATGTCTCCTCGCTGAAAGGTAAGAGTTTAAAATTTATCTGAACTCGGAATATTATAGTTTGTTTTGGCTCCAGTGGCATGTTTCCATAATGTATTTAAATCACAAATCCCTGCTCTGAGGCAAAGTCAAAACACCTGGTCTTAGTCCTGAGGTGAGGCCCTCAGAGCTGGAATAGTGCTTTGCCCTGTACAGGGGCCATTATCCGATTTATATACAATGCAGAAGATTGTCTAGAACCTAGAGAAGCACTAACTACAGTCTTATCCTTTTCCTCCTTAGCAAAATGGAAGCTCCTCCTTGCACAGTGCAGCCCCTTCCTCACTGTAGGTTATTCCAAGTGAGAAGAGTAAACATGACTTCTAAATGCCATCTAACGATATATGCATATCTAAAGGAGACAAGGATGACTGAATGCATCTTCATGTGTAGGAAGTGAAGTGTCTGTTGACATTAAGTACTTCTTCATGAGTGAGAGGAGGCCCATGATGGAGATGACACCAGTACCTCCTTCTAGCACTCTGAATTCCCAATGTTTACTACTGCTGTCTCTGAAACTGCAGCATCCTCACCAGGACCACACAGGGAACAAAGGCAAGACACCTGAAATCCCTTTAGCCATATTCACAACACTTACTTCATAGATAAGATGATGTTTGAAATATGAGAAGGATTTTTTTTTTAAAAGAGCACTCTATTCTCTTGGTATCCTAGTATGAGTGCCTGAAAGTGCACATTGGCTAGAAGGTTTCATGTGAGCATCAGCCCCAGGGTCCAGAAGACACTCTTGGCAAGCCTGGAGAGTGAGTATGTTGAACAGGCAATGGAAGCATCCATGAAAGGCAGGCAACTGCGCACGACTTTCCAACAGATGGCTGGTCAGTTGCACAGAGGGAAGGAGCCATGGATTCCATGATAATGACACTTGTGCCAGCTTTTGTGTTTCCAGAAGTTTTGAAGATATAAGGGAACCACCACATGTAGAGTATGTGAAGTCTTACAGAGACGAGGTCCTAAGGTATTTATTTTGACAAATCACGTTGCAAGTAATGTGAAAGCAGTTTGAAGAAAAAATGTCCCCATCTAATGCTGCATTATGGCATGCATTTCTTTAGCCTAAATCTGTCAGTGACATGAAAATACATGTTTTGCTGGACACATAATAGGTTGAACACATAATAGGTTCTAACATGGATCTGCATAAAGAAGAAAGAAGAAAGGCTATAAAGGTAGAAGAATAAATGTATAAATATTACAACAGGACACTGAGCTGAGTGGCTCTTTACCATAGACCTTGCTCATAGTTCTCACTACAGGCTTGCTCTGAGCCAACTTCCAAGTTCTCTCCTTCTCCTTCCAAACTTCCCTGTATGTCATCTTGCTCCTGGGCCACCTGACTGATGTTTAATGCCTGGATATTTGCTTTCACCTCTGCATGACCAAGCCTTGGCCAAGTCACTGTTGACTCAGTTGCAACATCTGTCCCCTGCTGAGGGCTGTTGTAGCTTTCATAGCTCACAGTCCAGCTTGAATCTAACCTTTTCTGTGGTCATTCAGAGTAGCAAGAAGCATTGTGTTTTGGATTTACTGCAGAACTCACACACTTAACTGTACACAGTCAGTTTTTATAGCTATCACTGCATCCAGATTGGACAGTGACCTTGGCTGAGACATCCTTTACCTCTGTTTCAGATTAATTTAGGCGGCATATAAAATCTCTGTGCACTGCCAGGGGAAAGTAAAGACTTCATGAAGAAATGGAGAAGAGCCGAATAGTTGACCATTGTTGCTGTATAAATCTTGGATCCAGGGCTAAAAGGTGGCAGTATAAATGCAGATGGTGCTGCTGCCATATTTTCCTGGCACACCTTTAAGCAGCACATTTCAAGCCTTCAGGGTTGGAATGGCATTTCCAAATATAGACTCAAAAAATCCTCAGATGTTTGATTCTAGAATAGAGCTGGGAATTCTGTCCTGCAAATGCCTTCTGCAGCATGGGAGCAAACCCACTCTTCTGTGTCTGTTGCTTCAAACTCTCTATTTTCTGGAAACTGGAGAAAGATGTGGGTCTACATTTTGAAATATATGCCTTGAACAAGAATTATGCACCTATAGAAAACTTGTCATACATTGAATAAACTCTCAGTTTACAGAAATCTATGGAAATATCAAAATAAAACATCAGAAGGAGCAGTAACTATAGAGGTTATTAACTAAGGGGATAACCTGAAAAATAAAGTTATATTTGCTAAAAACTGTATTTGATTAGTTTGGACTTCTTTTTTCCTATCCCTTTCCTGTTTTATATTTATATTTTATTTCTTCTAAAATTAAGTGATCTTTCACTATCTAATTAATATTGTAGAAAATGTCCAAGTCTAGACATTAGGACGGCTTTTGTTATTTAAGTCACATGCAAGAAGCAGCATGGTTTTGTGGAGAGAGCTCTACCTTTGGAGTCCAGCTCTACCTTCGGTGCTAACCCCAGGCATCTTTGTCCCGATCATAGTACCCCTCTGGGCCTCTCCTTATATTTGTAAAATGAGGGGGGCTCTCTGCAGTATCCTTCTGGCTATAAAATCTATCAGCTCTCATTGCTGAAGGTTTCTTCTGTTCAGAGTTTCTAGGTTTCTCGTAAACTGAGGAGCCAGAGGTCAGGAGGAATGGAAACTTGTTATTCCTTTTGTAACATTGTTCAGAGTTTTAAATGAAAACACAAGTAATTAATTTGTCATCACTGCTTGAACATATTATACTTTACTGAATTATAAAATATAATCTTTAGAAAAACAAATTTGTTATGAGAAATAAATGTTGCTGCTTGTCTAAAATTTTTTAGGGCCCTTCAAATTATTGCCTACAGTACCACTTATTAGCCCTGGCTGTGCATTAGCATCTCTTAGAAAGCTTTTCAATATGCCAGTGTCTGCCCTCCCACCCTCAGATGTTTTTATCTAATTTGTCTGTTGTGGGGCCTGGGTACCAATATTTTTAAGAGACAAGATTGAGAACAAATTACGTTCAATTACCAAGGCTGATGTATGCATGGTTCCCATGCATGGCTTGTACCTATCCACCTCCATAGCAACCACATGTGGTCCCCTCCAACATGTCGTCATGTTTCACACATGTCATTTCACACTGCTCCTTCTTTGCGTCTTCTGTTGTAGCCTGGAATGCCATGCCCTAAGAGGCTTAGACTTTCTCGAGCCCCTCCCTACAGTATAGATTTCTTTATTAGCATAGCTCCTGTACTTTGTAATGGCCTGCCTTGCACTCATTCTTCCTGTATTGTAAATATTTTATCCACCATTGTATATATTTATATTCATACATTGGATCATGTCTCTTGGGCTTAATGCCCACCCCTTCCAAGTGCTTTCGCACTGTACCTACCTCGGCCTGTAAGGCCTCACATGATCTCTTTCTCATGTGCTCTCCCTGAACCATGGCCTCTTTCTCAAACCTCTCTTCCTACCACTTCCTGCTTGTTCACTTCACTTCAGCCTTACAAGCCTCCTGACCCTCAAACATACCATGCTTGTCCTCATCTCAGGGCCTTTGCACAAGTGGCTCCTCTGCCTGGGGTGTCTTCTTCCCCCGCTCATCCTCCCATCTGCCTGCTCCCCAGCATTCAGGCCCTCCCTCAAATGCCATCTCCTCAAAGTGGCCTTTCTTAACCACCCTAGCTAGAGTAGCCTGTCCCCCACTCTACCATCCCAGCGTCACACCCCATCCCACTACTTCTATGTTCTTTGTGGGACTTGTATTATCTCAAGTAATATTGTTGTTTTGTACACATGATTTTTGTAAGCCTCCCATTACTGGAATGTAAGTTTTATGAAGATAGCGACTTTGTTTAGTGGGGGCTTAACAAATATTGAACAGATGAAGGTTGTCTCCCCTATGAGATAGTGCAGTGCCTAGTGTAGTGACTGGAAAGATGGTGTTCATTAAGTGCTTCATGAGTGATGTTTCATAGATGTTTCTCCTTCAGAAGCAGGACCACCAGATAGCTCAAATAATACTCATAAAAATTATTTTTTTCACATTTTCTTAATTTCCAGCTTTAAAAAGCAGAGAAAGTAAATATGTTTTTTCTTTTTATAAGAAAATTATATTATGTCTCTCCCTAACTTAAAAATCTTTATTTCCAGGACCCACACCTATGGGGACTCCCTCTCTCCAGGAGTCCGTTCAGCATATAACAAAGGGAAAGGGATTCCTCTGGAAATCAGTTTTGCCTAGAAGCCCCAAATTTAAACTGACACCGCTGCTCTGAGCCAATGTGAGAGGAAACAGATGTTTTTTTGAACATCTAAATTTGGAGGGCCCGGCGTGGTGGCTCATACCTGTAATCCCAGCACTTTGGGAGGCTGAGGCAGGTGGGTCACTGGAGGCCAGGAGTTTGAGACCAGCCTAGCCAACATGGTAAAACCCCGTCTCTACTTAAAAGAAAAAATACAAAATTAGCCAGTCCTGGTGGTATGTGCCTGTAATCCCAGCTACTTGTGAGACTGAGACAGGAGAATCATTTGAATCTGGGAGGCAGAGGTTGCAGTGAGCCACGATCACACCACTGCACTCCAGCCTGGGCAACAGAGCAAGACTCCATCTCAAAATAATAATAATAATGATATTATAATAATAAATTTGGGGACTTTCCAAATAGGTGACTGGACAGGTAAAGATGGAGTGGGGGTGGACCAAGAGTAAACCCTGTGTCCTTGCAGGGCTCTGCCTGAGCGACTGGGCCCAGGGCTCCCTTAGATCCCTGCACTTTACTGCTGACCTGTGGCTCCTATGAAATTGGCTCCTGTTAAGCAGGAGACTCTGGTTGCTAGTCATGGTGGTGACAGTTCTAATTCCTTCTCCCTAGCTTCGCTCTTACCCTGGGATACCTAGAGGTAGAGAATAATTCAGAAAGTTGTCAGAAACACTGGGAGCAATGTTTACTTGTATGGAAGAGCACTGGACTCCCTAGAGAACACAGGATCTGTAAGGTATGACCCGAGGAGAAAGATACAGCAAACCTGTTTTCCCATCTGTGAAATAAAGGGGTTGAGCTAGATGGTTTTTAGTGGCTTCTCTGTTTCTAATCTGCTCAGTCTGTAAGAGTTTGTAAGCATTTTGTTATTGAAGTGATCAACATTCAAACTGTAGGCAAAAGGTGTTTTTATCACGTAATTCTTTCAGCACAGATAACAGGTATTCTCTGTATAAAATTGCATGACTCTCTTTGTGGACACTATCAAATTGAGGTAGTAAATTACCATTGCAGCAAAGTCTGGTTGGGATGCCATAGAGTGTGTTCTCCCATAGAGTAGCCAATAGTCACATGTAGCTGTTAACATTAAAATTAGTTAAAATAAAATTAAAAATTCAATTTCTCAGTCATATTAGCTACATTTCAAGTGATCAAAATGCACACATCTTCTCTTTCCAGTACAGTTCTCAATTGGACAGAGCAGATATGTGCATTTCCATCATCACAGGAAGTTCTACTGCACAGCACTGGTTTGGAGTGCACCCCTGCCCTCAGATGAGAGTTGTATAGTTAGGGAGCTGCTAAGGACCCACCCATCTCTAAGGCTGAGTGATTCTGTGACTTTGTGTTGGGAAGATCATATTCCTGCTCTTTCTTTGCTGAAAAGGTTTTTGGTTTCCAAAAGTACTGAGGTTGGTGGAGAGGTACAAAACAACTGCAGGGAGTTCCTGTCTGCCTGAGGAGATCATCATTCACCTCAAGAATTACAGTGAGAATAAGAGAAGATGAAATGATACTGAAAAGCCGTTTAAAAAGTTGAAGAGTTATGCGTATAAAGCAAGATGATTGTTAAGTGAATGCATTAGATATAAAGGCCACTTGCTCCTGGACCCTCCTTGACTTCCATCCCTCTAAGCCAATCAAAATGAAGTTGGAAGTGATGGGGTTTGGTTGCCATTGGCAACTGATTGTCTACTTTGTCCAAGCTCTGGCAACCTGGGTTAGATAAACTATGAGAAAGTTCTCATAGAGCAAGCAATATTGGCTTCTGCTGGTTTGAGTCATGTTTACCTTGGCTTTAAGGGAGTCCCCAGAATGCTGGTGAGAGTCATTGGGAGGGCCTGGATCAGTGGCTCAGCCAAGTTAAACTAGGGGAATCTCCCTGGGGAGAGGCTCAGTGATACCACTTTCTTTCCCAAATGAAGCTCATAGAAGAGGTGACTCTACCCTCTCTGCTTATCTCTTGGTCAACTTTCCGTCTGCTTCCTCTCATGTCTTTGCATCATAGTTTTAACTCCTGTTAAATTATGTTAAATATTGTAGAAAAGGCACCAAATGTGGTAACTACAGCCACATGCCTCAGGTTTGGATTAGATCTCAATCGGCCTCTCAAGGAAGAGGACACTGGGAGTGATTTGGAAGGCATCTCCATGTGTCTTCATTGTCAACACTACCTCCAAGCACATGGCACTATTCTGGGAGCTATAGGAACCAGTGACAAAGGCACATGATTAGACAAACACCCAAACACAGGCAAGTATATTTAGAGTATATACTAAGAGAGCACAACTCTAAGTGTTGACTCTTGAGTGGAAAGACATGGGATTTGAGTCACAGGACCTTGATCTAAATCCTGTTTATTGACTGTGTTATCTGGGGCTCTGTGAGCCTCTGTTCACTCATGTAAACTGGAAATAATAATGCCTTACCTTCAGGGATGTTCTAGGAATGAATGATGAACACATAGTGGTGGAAGGCTTTGCACATTGAGGCACATAAATGATTTCCTTTCCCTTTCTGAGGGGTCAGTGCTGTGATTTGGAGGGGAATGGTGGAGTGACTATGGAGAGTCCATGCTTAAAGAATGGAAACCACTGCATTTTACTAAGCTTGTTGGCTCTCTGTGGTTTGATAATAGGGTAGGGATGGGGTGGATTTGGCTTACTGGGTCAGGGAGGATCTCCCTACAGGGTAAGGGCTCACAGGAATGGAACTGCCTATCTCTCTTTAATCCTGAGCCAGTGGTTGATGTTTTGGTAGCTTTGGCTTCTCTTCAGCTGTGGGCTCTAGCTGCATAGGGCTTGATACTTGTGGGTAATTTGCAACTACTGGTGCAGTGGAATCCCGGGGATTGACAGAGGGGCAGTGTGTGTAGTTTAGGGGGAGGGAAGGAGGATCCCCTGTCTCCCTGGCGCCTCATGTCCAGTGAAATGTTGTGCCAATCAATGGCATTGATTGGTCTCTGATGGAGATGTAGTTCTATTAGTTCAATTTCCTGTTTCACTATAGAATGTGACTGTATGTGTTTGTGAGAGAGACACAGGGAAGGAGTTATTATCAACAGTGGGCAATAGGGGAGTAGTCAGGGGAAGAGAGAGGGGACAGTTCTCTCTGGGACTCTCAGTTGTCCTGAACGTGGGAGTAGTGACTTGCTGGAGTAGAACTATGGAAATTAGGGTAACAGGGTATTTTTCCACGAAGGAAACTAGAGAAGGAAGTAAGATCAGTCCGAGTGTAGGATCAGTGTTCTGAATACAAGAGGCAGATGCCCATTGTTGGATATGAGAATCTAAGGTGGAGAAGAGGGCTGGCTTGGTTGAAACTCAACCAAGAGCATTTCAGAGTTCTTTCCTCAGAAAATACCGTGGTAAAGCTTTAGTTAGCTATAGATGTACTTGGGACGTGTGGTAAAAAAAGAAAAACAAATAAGACGGGGACCCAGTCCATCACTCTGATTCCTTACAACCACATCAAGGCTTCAAGATGTGGCTTTACCCCAAGGAACCTTTAGCGCCTTCCTGGCATCTCACAAACTTTTCTCTGAAGGAATCTCTCTTCTCTGAGTGTGATGAAGGGTGTTGAACCATTGGGAAGGAACTTTACAACATCCACTGTGTGCCAGGTATAGTACTGGTCACTTTATGTCATCTTAGTTTTCATAACAACTGCATGATCTATGCATGCAAAATCCCAGTTTTACTTATTAAGAAACTGAGGCTCAGAGATGTGAAGTGTCTTATCCAGCGTCACATGGCTGGTGAATAAGTGGCAGTATTGGGATTAGAACCCCAGACCTGAATTTAGATCATTTAGAGCCCCTAAATGTCAGGTTAAGGAGTTTGGAATTCTTTTAAAAGGCAACAGAGAGTTGTTGGCTGTGACCAACAGGTTGATATATGAGAGAAGACGTTTTCCTCTTGAGTACACACAGAGAAGTTGTAGATCAATAAAAGCAAGCTCTAAACCTCTCTCACATTTATGGGCCCTTGGGCTTGATTCTTCTTTATGCAATCAAGACTTCTTAGTGCTGTCTGGCTCCAGACTTGGGGTTTTTTGAAGCCTGCAGAGTCTCAGGGCACAAACAACATGAGCTGCTTGCCTAAGACATACTTTATAAACTCCTTCCACTTCCACATTCTTTTTTTTTTTTTTTTTTTTTTTTTTTTTTTTTTTTTTTGAGACATGGTCTCGCTTTGTCACCCAGGCTGGAGTGTCGTTCAAAAGATTCTCATGCCTCAGCCTCCCAAGTAGCTGGGATTATAAGTGTGTGCCACCATGCCCAGCTAATTTCTTGTATTTTTTTAGTAGAGACAGGGTTTCATTATGTTAGCCAGGCTGGTCTTGAACTCCTGGCCTCAAGTGATCTGCCTGCCTTGACCTCACAAAGTGTTGGGATTACAGGCATGAGCAACCTCACCTGGCCCATTTCTACATTCTTTATGCTACCCCTGTTCTCAGAAGTGATGGAGTAATGCTATGTAAGGATTTGGGAAATTAGGCTCCAAGGTTTAGTGGATTGAAACAACTATTTGCTTACTGGCTTAGCTACTTGGGTTGGCATCAGCTGGGCAGTTTTTCTGCTGGTCTTACCTGGAGTCACTCATGTAGCTGCAGTCATTTGGCAGCTTGACTGGGGCTGGATGGTCTAAGATGGCTTTACTGACAAGTCTGGCAATTGGTGCTGGTTGTCAGCTGAATAACTCTCTCTGTTCATCTTTTTGTGATATCTTATCCACTAGAAGACCAGACTGAGTTTCTTTACGTGATGGCAGAAGTGTTGAAAGAGAACGAGAGCGGAAGCTGCAACACCTCTTGAAGTTGAGGCCTAGAAGTCACACAGCATCTCTTCTGCTCTACTGGATTGGTCAAAGCAAGTCATGGGCTAGTTCAGACTGAGGGGGTAGCAAAATAGACCCTACCTCTTGGTGGGAAAAAAGGCAGTCACATTGTAAAGGAGTGGGCACATAAGGATAGAAGGACTTGATTTGGCTATCTTATAAACAACCTACCACAGAAGGACTTCTGTTTTTCTGATCCTCCCTTAAGTTTGAACTACATGTTCCCTGAGGAATTCCTGCCTGTGGAGATCAAATTAGAATTTGGATTCTCAGCAGGTGGTTTAATAACTGCAAGCAGTTGCCTTCAGAGTCCCTGAATAAAATCATCCTCCTGGGGTCCTGGGAAAGGCTTTGATGGGTATCTTAAGCTCTCTCTCCGCAGATCTTGAACTACTTCCATAGGTTATTGGATATTTGGTGAGAAAGGCATCTTGGAGGAATGGAAATGCAGGGGTTTGGGAGGTGGACAGACCTGGATTCAGCCAGTTCAGTCTTAGTTCTGACTGGCTACATGGCTTTGGGTAGGTTACTTGACTTCTTTGAATCTTATTTTCCTTATCCATAAAATAAGTGTATTCATTTTGCATGATTGAGTTGAGGAGTCATTCATTCAACAATGGGTGATAATAACTAAAATCAATTCCAAGAGTAGCATGAGCTCAAGGCCTCTCATTCAGACTCCTGAATCAGCCCATCTCACCCCTACCCCATTCCCCTTCGCCTTACCTTGGCTTGCTGGCCAAATAGGCCGTGAGTTCCTAAGGTCTTCCTGTCTTACTCTGTCATGATTGTTGTGAGCAGGGCTTATCCCAGTAGGATAAATGTACAAGGAGGAAGAGGGAGAGAGTTTAAGAAAACCAGCCAGAAAGTCTGCTCCAGATAACAAGAAATTCTGCCAAAGTACTGGATGGAATAGCCAGAAATGATGCACAGAGAATCTAGTCACTGTTTAGGACATGGGTGTAAGATTTGGATACACAAGGCCAGGCCCTGAGCCTTCTAGCTCTGAAGTCTTGGGCAAGGCTTTGAACCTACTAAGCCTAGCTTTTCTTATCTGTACCCTAGCAATCAGAATTTTGTATTGCAAGTTCGTTGAGAATAGGAGAAGAAAATTTGCCAGGGGCGCCCCTGGAACATAGAGAGTTCCTGGGCCTGTGTAGGTGCACAGTAAAGGGTGGCTTTGTGATTATTCTCAACCCTCTCAATGCTGTGCTCCCTGTGTGTTGTGGCTCTGCTGTCCACAGGAAGTAATGGGGTAAGACCATTCCAGGCTTTTAATGACCCATCTCCTGGGACTCAATGGCTGTATTTTTTAAAAGTTGTGCTTTATGTAGATTTTTATAAATTGGGTCCTATTTCCTCATTGACCAATCTGACTATTAATCTCAGTGAAAGAGTTCATTGGAAAACAGATATAATAGGAATGAACAGAGCTGCTGCAATCAGCCTGCATCATCATTCTAGCCAGGAAATTAGGCTTCAGGAGATTAAATAATAACTGGCCTAAGGTCACACAACTAGTTAGTGAAAGAGCCAAGGAACCAGAATGTCTGGTTCAGATTGGTGATTGGGGGGTGGGGATGGTGGGAAGAAAAATTCACAGCAAGTAGACTAGAAGGAAGTAAATTAAAAATATGGTTAATATATGGAGAATGGGGTGGAATTGAGACATTAGGTCATTTTCTTTTCTATGCTGATTTTTCAAAATTTGATGAACATGTATTGCTTTTATAATGGTTAAAATAAGTTTGATAAAGAAAAAATAAAAAGAGAAAGCTTGGGAGAACAGAGCCTATGTAGTGGCCTATGGCTAGATTATGGACCTGGGTGTTCCAGACTGGATGTAGTGAACAAAGGACAGACAGAATTGGGAATAAACACTAACTCTTTCTTAGGCCTTGCAGAAGTGATGCTGAGGTTAATCTGAAGTTACTTGGGAGATAGAGGAGAGGGGAATGTAGAGAGTCAACAAATCATTGTATTGAAGTTTCCTCTACTTTGTTTGTCTTTTGCCTTGGCCTGCTGGCCTAGTGATAATTGGGAGAAGGGGGAGTGAGAGGAAAGGGACCAAGGTTTCCTGTGCTTTTTTTAATTATTATTTTTGAGACAGAGTCTCGCTCTGTCACCAGGCTGGGGTGCAATGGCGTGATCTTGGCTCACTGCAACCTCTGACTCCCTGGTTCAAGCGATTCTTCTGCCTCAGCCTCCCGAGTAGCTGGGATTACAGGCATGTGCCACCACGCCTGGTTAATTTTTGTATTTTTAGTAGAGATGGGGTTTCACCATGTTGGCCGGGATGGTCTCGAGCTCCTGACCTCGTGATCCGCCCACCTCGGCCTCCCTAACTGCTGGGATTACAGGCATGAGCCACCGTCCCTGTGCTTTTGAATGGCCATGTGTCAGGGCTACCTAGAAAGATCAGGGCAAGGCCTCAGAAATCCCCATCAGGATAGACTGGGATGAGATTCACTCCAGGAGCTTTGGAAGAAAATATATAAAACTTGTTATTGTTACCATGACATACAAAATGCCCCACTATTTATCATTATCAAAAAATTCCTGGTACTTCCATGGGCTTTCTGCAGCAGAGAGGTGGGTACTTTTAAAAGTATAGCATTTGGGCCAGGCATGGTAGCTCATGCCTGTAATCCCAGCACTTTGGGAGGCTGAGGTGGATGGATCACTTGAGGTTGGGAGTTTAAGACCAGCCTGGTCAACATGGCAAAATCCCATCTCTATTAAAAATACAAAAAATGCCTGGCCCTGGTGGTGTGTGCCTGTAGTCCAAGCTACTTGGGAGGCTGAGGCAGGAGAATCTCTTGAACCCGGGAGGCAGAGGTTGCAGTGAGCCAAGATCATGTCACTGCACTCCAGCCTGGGCGACAGAGCAAGACTCTGTCTTAAAAAAAGGAAAAAAAGTATAGCATTTTATACACAAGGCTCACTAGCTTGTCAGTTGCTGCCAATCTGCCCTCAGGTTTGGGCCTTTCTACTAGAAACTCCCAAGCCAAGCTCCCTTCTTCGAGCACCTGGGCCACTCCTCCATCCCCAGGATGTTAGGCCATTTGGCAAGGTGCCCAGAAGTCCTTAATCGCATCTGTCTCCCAGGAGGAGGGCATAAGTGCAGGATTCCCCTCAGGCCCCCATGCATGTGGCCTGGAGCTGAGCCTCTGCCAACTCCTCTCCCCCTACAGAGCAGGACTGTCCAGGCCCCTTGTCAATGGAGCATATCCAGAGAAGGAGAGCTTTCCCAGAGGAAGGAAAGCTGTGTCTGTCAGAGCTCTTTCTCTCTTGATTTCAGCTCTTATAATCCTTGGCAGGAGAAGATGTTTGAGGATAGCTCGGTTTCCGTAAGCTAGTCACCATCTTCAGAATTGAGAAAACAGTAGCAGAATTTAAGTCCTAGTGGGGCTTTCTTTAATGCCTGGTCAGTCCATGTGAGGACTTTGTGTTGTCCTTCCAAAGGGGCAGCTGGCAGGACCAGTGTCCCATATCCCTGGGCCAGCTTGACTTCTATTGTCATAAAAAATTAATGTGGAGGATGAGGTGATTTGTAGGGCCCTGCAGCTGGCAGGCACAGCCCAGCCCACGTGTGCATCCAGGAGAGGCTTTGGTTCTGTACTTGCCACGTGCCCTGTGTTATGTATGGTGAGGCACATGGAATATCAACAGACCAAGTTCTCTGCACTCAAGATGCGGAAGGAATATTAGGAATGGGAGACGCATGCCTGGAGGTACCAGGCACCTAGCGCTGTGTGCACTGCCTAGGGCCCAGGCCTGCTCTCCAGGATGCGGAGATGCGCGCTGCCGAGGGTCCAGGCCTGCTCTCCAGGATGCGGAGATGTGCGCTGCGAAGTGTCCAGGCCTACTCTCCAGGATGCGGAGATGCGCGCTGCCGAGGGTCCAGGCCTGCTCTCCAGGATGCGGAGGTGCGTGCTGCCGAGTGTCCAGGCCTGATCTCCAGGATGGGGAAATGTGTACAGCCAAGTGTCCAGGCCTGTTCTCCAGGATGCGGAGATGTGCGCTGCCGAGGGTCCAGGCCTGCTCTCCAGGATGTGGAGGTGCGCGCTGCCGAGTGTCCAGGCCTGATCTCCAGGATGGGGAAATGTGTACAGCCAAGTGTCCAGGTCTGTTCTCCAGGATGTGGAGATGTGCGCTGCCCAGGGTCCAGGCCTGCTCTCCAGGATGTGGAAGTGTGTACAGCCAAGTGTCCAGGCCTGTTCTCCAGGCCCAGCACAGACGTGGTTGCCTTGCTCAAATCTTTTAGATTTCAGCCTCTATTCTCTAGCTGTCCTCTCTTTTAGATTTCAGCCTCTATTCTCTAGCTGTCCTCTCTGAGACTCTATGTGAATATCTTCTTTAACATGTCTAAAATTAAACTCAGCCTCTCCTTCAAGATACATTGCCCCTCTTTCTCAAGACCTAAAATTTTGAGTTTTTTCATGATTTTCTCTCTTCTGGGGCTCTTTCATCTTAGGTTTTAGACCCAGTAGCCCCCCTTTATAACCTCTTGTCTGCATCTCTTCCTTTCCACCCATCCCTGCCTTTTTACCTTTTGTGTAGGTGCCTGCAAAGCCCCCTGACCAGCCTCTCTGGTCTGGCATTACTCTTTTTTAGCTTCCCCAGATCAATCTTCCTAAAACAGCAAGTCTTTTCAGTTGTTTTTTACCTCCTAGAACAGTGACTTGGCCTGGATTATGTTAGGATCACCTGGAGAAGATGGAACGGGATGACTGGAGTTCCCAGGGAACCCACCCTGAGGAAGCCCCGCAGTAGTAGTTGTTGAAGTGATCATTTTCAGGCTCAGTAATATCCACGCAGATTACCCACATGGTGATACGTTTTTGGTGTCTTGTAAAATCCTGGATTGGCTTCTCTCTGCCACCCAACTGTGGCCATGGTCTCAGTCCTCACCGTTGACTGGTGTGTACTCAGGGATTTTGACACTTTGGGATATCAATTGGAACCAAATACTGTGAAGAGGATAAAGCAGCTGCTCGTGCCAAAAGTCAGGGTATGCACTGTCAAGCCGAAGTTGGCTGACCCAAACTGTGGAGGGAGACAAGCAGGAGAAGCTAGGAGTCCCGGCTCCAACTCAAGCTTAACCATCAACTGTATCACCTTGTGTTTAAGTCATTTTTCCAGTCTGATCTCAGTTTCTTTTGATGCAAAGCAAGGTTCAGTTAGGTGCTCTGCTTGTCTGGTTTGTTCATAGCACTGCTATCTCCTGTTTTCAAGGAAATTTGGGAGATGTATTTTCTAACTGTAGATTAGTTCTCTCCTTGCTTCATGTTAAATAGGCATCCTTAGGTCTTGGCTAAAAGGAATTACAGACTGTTGGTGTTGGGAGGGAACTTGGAGATTACCTCTTACCTGATGGGTATCCACACTATTCGCAATGCAAAGGAGACAGCAGATTGATTTCCTGTCAGACTCCCAGGGCAGAGAGGCCCATTGGGTCCCAAGGGCTCAAAGCACTTAGCAAGGATCACCTGACCTTTCCTGAGAAGAGGCACACTAAGAAGACTAAGAGAGAGAGGGCAGTCTATCTCTTCTTAGAGGTGGACAGGATGCCTGGTGGGCATCACTGCCTGGGGCAAGTATGGTAATGGGGTTTCTTTATTCTCTGTCCCTTCCTTTTCACAGGGCCTGGGAGTCTGAGGACTCAGCTCTGTGCAGGATGGAGAACTCTGCGTGTGTTGTCTCTAAGAACAGGCCTGCCATTTCTCAAACACTCCGGGCAAGACTATTGCTTGGCAAGTGTGGACTCAGGCAAAGCCCTCTGTTGCATTTTAAACACAATAAATATCCAGGGTAACCTGGCATTACTCCTTTTTAGCTCCCCAAATCAATCTTCCTAAAACAGCAAGTCTTTTCAGTTGTTTTTTACCTCCTAGAACAGTGACTTAGCCTGGATTATATTAGGATCACCTGGAGAAGATGGACCAGGATGACTGGAGTTCCCAGGGAACCCACCCTGAGGAAGCCCTGCAGTAGTAGTTGGTGAAGTGATCATTTTTCAGGCTCAGTAATATCCATGCAGATTACCCACATGGTGATACATTTTTGGTGTCTTGTAAAATCCTGGACTGGCTATAGTCTAGTAAAAGCATCAAGAATGGCAGCTAATTTGGAGGAATATTAGGGAGTTGGGGGGTCCCAAATGAGTCAGAAGCTTTGGTAGGGGTCATAAGGAGTCATTGACAAGATGATTGTGATGTGCTGGGGAGGGATGGTTCCTACCATGCTAAAGATCGCTGTATTTTAGTGGCCAGTAGCCCAGAAGTTTCTTTTTATCCTCTGCAGTTTTCCCAGTTTCCTAAGCCCCATCTCTTGGAAATCAGCCCCAATCTAATCCATGGATCTCTGGGTAATAGGTGGACTTTACCATAGCTACTTGGTCCATGCAAGTGTTTTAGAAAGTGTGATCTGGACAACTTGCATCAGTGCCACCTGGGCTGCTCTTTCAAAGGGCAGAAACCCGGGTTCTACCTGGATTTATAGGTCCAAGCAGTGGCACCCAAATGCCTACCTGAGATAAAAGATGAACACATGTTTCATAGCCCTCTTGTTGTATCTACAACATACCTCTTTACTAAAAGGGTCATGTTTAAGGAACACTAAGCAAGTGCTAAAAGGAAAATATAGTAGTTCCCCTTTTCTGCGGGTGATACTTTCCAAGAACTTCAGTGGATGCCTGAAACCGTGGATAGTACCAAACCCTACATATACTGTTTTATCCTCTATATTCATACCTATAATAAAGTTTAATTTATAAATTAGCCACCATAAGAGATTAACAATAACTAATTTAAAAATACAACAATTATAAGAATTATAGTCATGTGCCACTTAGTGAACAGGGTTATGTTCTGAGAAATGTGTCATAAGGCAATTTCATTGTACAAACCTCGTAGAATGTACTTACACAAATCTAGATGGTACAGACTACTATACACCTAGGCTGTATGGTATAGCCTATCATTCCTTGGCTACAGACCTGTGTAGCATGTTACTGTACCAGATACTGTAGGCAATCGTAACACAATGATAAATATTCATGTATCTAAACCTATCTAGACATAGAAAAGATACAGTAAAAATATGGTATAAGATTAATAATAGTACACCTGTATAGTACACTTACCATAAATGCAACTTGCAGGACTGGAATTTACTTTGGGTGAGTCAGTGGTGAGTGAATGTGAAGGCCTACCACATTACTGTACACTACCAGACTTTATGAACACTGTACACTTAGGCTACATTAAATTTATTTAAATATTTTTATTAGCTAGATGCAGTGGCTCATGTCTATAGTTCTAGAGCTTTGGAGGTCTAGAGGGGAGGATCGCTTGAGGCCAGGAGTTTCAGACCAGCCTGGGCAACATAACGACCCAGTCTCTATAAACATTTTTTTAAAAAATTAGCTGGGTATGGGGGCACACACCTGTAGCCCCAGCTACTTGAGAGGCTGAAGTGGGAGGATTGCTTGAGCCCAGGAGTTCAAGGCTACAGTGAGCTATGATCACACTATGGCATTCCAGCCTGCTGGGTGACAGAGCAAAACCCTGTCTCTAAAAAAAAAAATTAATAAATGTTTTGTTTAACCTTAGGTTATTGTAATTCTTTTTACTTTATAGATACTTTTGTAATAACACAACTTAAAACACGAATAGGTGTATGGCTCTGCAAAAATATTTTTATATTCTTATTCTGTAAGCTTTTTTCTTTAAAAAAATTTTTAAAACTTTTAAAACTTTTTTTTTAACAAATAAATACACAAACATATTAGCCTAGGCCTACACAGGGTCAGAATCATCAATATCACTGTCTTCTACCTCCACATCTTGTCTCACTGGAAGGTCTTCAGGGGCAATAACACACATGGAGCTGTTGTCTCCTATGGTAACAATGCTTCCATCTAGAATACTTCCTGAAAGACCTGCTTAGACTGTTTTACAGTTAACTTTTTAAACAAATATATGAACCAGTTTTTTTAGCAAATATATAAACAAGTAACATTGTTATTTATTATTATCAAATATGCATTGTACATAATTGTATGTGTTATACTTTTAGACAACTGGGAGTGCAGGTTTCTTTACACCAGCATCACCACATACGTGAGTAATGTGTGTGTTGTGCTACAATGTTATAGCAGCTATGATGTCACTAGGTGGTAGGAGTTTTTCAGCTCCATCATAATCTTATGGGACCACCATCATATATATGGTCTGTCATTTACCAAAACGTTGTTATGCGGTGCATGGCTATTCTGCAATAAAAGTTATGCAAATATGGTCTCTCTTACTCTAATGTATTTTATTGTACTGTACTCACCTAGTTTCGGACCGAGGCTGGCTGCCAGTAACTGAAATCGCAGAAAGTGTAACTGTGGATAAGGGGGGACTACTATAATTCTTCCTGAGCAAACATTTTAAAGGAATGAATGCCCGAGATACATAGTTGTATAGCTTCCTTTTCATCAGTTGTCCACTAACCATAATCATTGACACAAACTTTGATCAGAACAATGCTGAGCTTGAGCCTGGGGTAACTGCTTGTGTGGTGGGGGTATGTTCAACCTTTCTTGGTTTCATCACTGTGGCTCTTCTCAGCTGCTGACCTTGCCTTTGCCCTTCCCCACTGGGGCTATTTTGTTTCTCACCTGCCAAAGGAGGCTGTAGCAACTTTTGGCACGAGTGCCTGGTTTTTCTCTTTCTAGTGCTCCTGAGCAGTTCTAGACCTGTTGTCTCCATCCTCCAGCTCCTACCTTGAAGGCTATAGAGCTTTCCATTAGGAAATAAAAACTTTCTGGTTCCCCAGAGTTCCTCTGCCATGTGCTTTAGTGTTGCCTTCCCCCAGCTTTCATCAAGAAAGGTAGAATAAGCGACTCCTCTCCCTCTTCCCTAACCTAGAAAAAGAAGGGAAAAGAAAAGAAGGTGCACAGGGAACTGGCAAGAAGGTCCTTGCCAGATCTTCAGAGAGACCCAAGTTGGAATCTTGGCCCACCACTTATCAGCTGTGTGACCTTCAGCAGGTCGTATACACTCTCTAAGAAGCAGCCATCTCTTAAATGGCAGAAGAGGACCTCCCTCGTTGGACTCATGAGGATTCACTACAGCAACATGAGAAATCTCTAGCTCAGTGACCCTCACATATTAGCTACTCAGTAAAGGTTGCCCTCCCATGCCCCTGCCCTGGCTCTCTTTTCCCACACAGCCCACTTCTCTCTCTGCTCTCCTTCCTCCGAGTTCTCCATGGCCCCTTGCCCACGTTTATTCATCTCTGTCTCTCACCCCACTTCCTGTAATGAACAACACTGTCCTCACTCTGTATGTATCTGACCCCAACTTACAAGTGTGTTATATCTAAAAATCCATTAATAAGTCAGGTATCAGAACTACTCTTGTGCTTTTCTAGGGGTGGCTCACACCTGTACTCCTAGCCCTTCGGGAGGCTGAGGTGAGCAGATCACTTGAGCTCAGGAGCTTGAGACCAGCCTGGCCAACATGGCAAAACCCCATCTCTACTAAAAATACAAAAAAAAAAAAAAAAAAAAAAAAATTAGCCAGGCGTGATGGTGTGCACCTGTAATCCTAGCTACTCGGGAGGCTGTTATATGAGAATCACTTGAACCTGGGCGACAGAGATTGCAGTAAGCCAAGATCTCACCACTGCACTCCAGCCTGGGCAATGGAGACTGCACTTGTGCTTTTCTAAAAATCCACATTTATGCGTGATGGTTAACATTCCCAGGCTAGACCCAAAATAACTCATATCATAAGTTACAATGAAAAAAACATAAAGGAGAGAGCAACATTATTTTAATAATCATAGCAAAAACCACACCAAGCAAGAGTCCTATTACATTTTTTTCTGGAAAGCTGCTCATGATCAGAAGCAGGTTAAATTAAATTAGAGGATGAGGAGGTGAGGTTTTGGGGTGCTTTTAAAGGCTTTAAAAGTTGCTGGCTTTGGTTCATTATTAGCTCTAATTTACTACGAAATGCATGGCTCTCCCTTTTTCCTGATGCAGGTGTAAATCCCTGGCACCAATCTTGCACTTATCTGCCATGATTAGCATTATTTTTGGCTCTAAAATAGAACAAAGCAGGGAGGAGAACGTGGAGGGGAGGGAGAGGAATCTTTTGCTGCAGTCGTTTGGAAGGAATTGGGAGGAAAGAAGGAAGGCAGAAAGGCCTAGGATAGATATGAATGTGCTGTGCAACACTGTTTGTAGTGGAAAGTGGTTCCTAGGAGGGACAGGAGCACAGCATCTCTTCTCTGATGGGGAAGGAGGAAACAGAAAAGAGAAGCCAAGTCAAGTGGTAGAGTGAGTATTCCCATGTGTTTTAGGTACAGGGTACAGGGATCTTGTAGCAGATCAGGGATAAACATCTTGTTACCAACCTGAGTTTGGATATTTCCATGTTAGTGTCCCTGGCGTGCCTTTATAGTGACTCTATTCTTTTGCAGTAGGCAAAATCAAGCTGATGAAAATTATATACAAGATAAAATTATCCGAAGGGAATTAAATACAAACGTGGATGCTGGAAGACATTAGTTGGTCAGAAATTAAAACAATAGGGCAGTAAATATTTGGAGGTTAGAGAGAGGACTTTTTGGGAAGTGTATTAGTTATTTATTGCTGTGTAACAAATTGCTCCAAAACTTAACGGCTTGAAATAACACACATTTATTGTCTGACAATTTCTGTGGTTCAGGAATTTAGACACAGCTTTCTGGGTCCCCTGCTTCATGGTCTCTTAGGAGGCTGCAATCAAGATATCGTCCAGGGTTGGAGTCTTATGTGAAGACCTACGTGGAAAAAGCTGACTTGACTTACATGGTTGTTGGCAGTTCCTCAAGGGTTTTGGGGCTGAGGGTCTCAGTTTCTTGTTGCAGAGGCTGATCTCTGGTCTTTGTTATGTGGGCCTCTCCAACATGGTAGCTTGTTTCATCAAAGCCAGCAAGAAAGAGAATCCTCTGGCAAGATGGAAGCCACAGTCGCACATAGCCTAGCCACAGAAGTGATCTCCCATCACCTTTGCCTTATTATACTGATTAAGAAGCAAGCTACAAAGCCAGTATATACTCAAGGAGAGAGGATCATTGGGGGCCTCCCCAGAGTCTCCTTGCCACAGGCAGGGAGTATTAACCAAGAAAAAGACTCAGGAGATTGAGAGATCTGGTGCCCCAGACCCATCTGGCTTCATCTAGTGCCTCTTTAACCATCTCACTATCAGCCTCCAGACCTGAAAGATGTGCTTTATGCCTGGGTTCCAAGTGCTCCTTATCTATGCTGACCAAAACCGCATCTTCACATCTGTTCTTCCTCATTAAAGATTTTCATACTGAAAACACATAAAAAGAAAAATAAAGTGTTGGGGAAGAGGAGCTGGAAAGTTCAAAATATTGAGTATTTGTATATTATATATATAGGGTGTTGTGAACTGAATTGTGCCCTTCCCAAATTCATATGTTGCAGTCCTAAATCCCAGTCCCTCAGAATGTGACTGTAGAAATAAGGCTTTCAAGAGGTGATTAAGTTAAAATGATGCCGTTAGAGTGGGCCCTAACCCAATCTGACTGATGGCCTTATAAGAAGAGAAGATTGATTAGGGCACATGGAGAGAGACTGTGTTAAGCTGTTCTTGCATTGCTATAATTTAATTAATTACTGGGCAATTTTATAATTGCTGGTTAATTTATAAGAAAGGAGGTTTAATTGGCTCATGGTTCTGCAGGCTGTATAGGAAGCACAGTGCTAGCATCTGCTTCTGGTGAGGTCTCAGGAAGCTTCCAATCATGGTGGAAGGTGAAGAGGGAACAGGCATCTCTCATGGTGAGAGTGGGAGCAAGAGGCTGGGGAGGTGCTACACTTTACAGTAACCAGATCTCATGAGAACTAACTATTGCAAGGTCAGCACCAAGCCATGAAGGATCCTCCCCCATGGCCCAAAAACTTCCCACCAGGCCCTGTCTCCAATACTGGGGATTGCATTTCAACATAAGATTTGGGTGGGGACAAACATCCAAACTATATCAGACACCATGGGACACAGAGGGACAACTGTGTGAGGAGGCAACAAGAAGGCAGCCATCTGTATCTGCAGGCCAAAGGGAGGAGCATCAGAGGAAGCCAACCCTGCTCGACCTTGATCTTGGACTTCCAGCCTCCAGAGCAACCAAATAAATTGCTATGGTTTAAGCCACCCAGTCTGTGATATTTTGTTATGGCAGTCCTAGCAAACTAGTACCGAGGGCATTTTTGTTTTAAAGTGTTCATTAATCTTGTATAGCTTTAAAAATGTCTTTGTTCCAGGAAATGTGTTGGAGAAGGACTGAGGACTTAAAAGATGGACCTGCTCCTTCAGAATCCTATAGGTCAAGAGAGATACAAACAAATCAGAATGTAGTAATGAATGCCATAATCACCATACATATGGTGCTGTGGGGACAGAAGAAGGGGCAATTATATGTTGAAGAAATATTGGAAGTGACAGGTGAGCTGCTGCTTAAAAATGGGGTGGAGTTCTCAGAAAAGGAAGAAGGTTGTTCCAATCTAGACAAACCGAACACAGGCATGGAGGCTGGAAAGAGCATAGTGTGAGCACTTTGGCTCTAGAGTCACATGGATCTGGATTTTAATCTGCCTCCACCACTTAGTAGCTCTGTGACCTTGAGCAAGTCACTCTGTGCCCTTATGTCTTCATCTGTAAAGTGAGATTAATTGTAATACTACCTCATAATGTTGTTGTAAGGATGGGATGAATTAATATGGTTGAAGAGCTTAGAAGAATGTAAGTATTACATAAGCATTAGGTATTATAATTCTAAAATGCAAATCTTATGTCATTCCTTTGGGTTAAGCTTCTCAGTGCTTGTGTAGTAAGTCTGTGGAATAAATTCCCAACTCGTTAGCCTAGCTCTACCTTGATCCCCAGCCTCTTCCCCTGTGTTCTAGCCCTGCAAGACAGCAATGCCTACAACCTCTCCTATCATATTCTCTCCCTACTGCTGAAATAAAACTGCACATTCCTGAAGACACAGGTCAATTTTCAACTCCCCTTTGAAGCCTTTCCTGACCCTCCTGCCCTCACTTCTATAATTGTGTGATGTAGATCTAAATTGTAGCACTTATGTTTATATTCCGGTTCTTTTATTCATTTACCGCAATAGACCAGAGATACCCAGAAGGCTGGAACTATGTATCTTCCAGCCAAATTTTGTATTCTTATCATCTGGCACATACTGGGCACCCAATAAATGATTGTTGAATTAAAAAAATGAACAAATAGTGATTTGTATATAGTAATAGTATGTCTTAGACATGGGCAGATAGGTGGGGATGAGCCTGGAAGCAGGGATTTTGAAGGGTGGATCTGTATGAATGCATTTAAATGATGAATAGGAGGAGCCAGTTCAGTATAGCTAGCAACCATCTTAATTTCCCCATTTATGGAGGTTTGTTTGTTTGTTTTGTTTTGCTTTTGAGATAGGATTTCACTCCTGTTGCCCAAGCTGGAGTGCAATGGCGTGATCTTGGCTCACTGCAACCTCCACTTCCTGGGCTCAAGTGATTCTCCTACCTCAGCCTCCCAAGTAGCTGGGACTACATGTTCATGCCACTGCACCTGGCTAATTTTTGTATTTTTAGTAGAGACAGGGTTTCGCCATGTTGGCCAGGCTGGTCTCGAACTCCTGAGCACAAACCATCTGCCCGTCTTGGCCTCCCAAATTGCTGGGATTACAGGCGTGAGCCACTGCACCTAACCTCTAACAAATGCAACAAGCTACCAAAACTTATGTCAAGCTTCGGGCCAAAGCTTGTTCTTGGGCCCCATGTTTATTCTAGGCAGCTTGAATTTCTGTCCCTTCCTAGTTAGAAAAGGGACCACCTTGGGCTTCCTCTCTTCCCTGCTACCTTTGTCTTTCTCTCGGAGCTCTAATTAAAGCTGTGATTGTGGGGCTTCTGTGCTGGATTGTATCCACTGTGATCCTCCAAGGTTGAGGACTCGCCTTCCTTGGCAGGTCTGTCTGGTGCTGACTCTGTCGTGAGCAGTAGTTGCTCCAGAGTTTGTTCCTTCCTGTTCCTCTGGTCAGAGTCTCACCATGAGATGCCTTCAGCTCAGGCGAACCTGGTGCATAGATGGCACCAGTTGTCCTCTGCCTTGCTCTGGGGAGCTGCCTCATAAACCTGCAAAGTAGGTGGGGAGAGGGAGAAGAGGATCTGAGGTAGACCAAGGCCACTCAAGGGTCATTTGTCAGCCTAGCACTGAGAGGGTGGTAGTGCCCCTCCCCTTTCATTGTCAAGGCCACTGGTATACTTGTTTTTACCTGGATTGTAAGCAGGTTCAGTGCAACAGGCAGGTGCTGGGTGGTGCCAGTTGCTGGGAGATGGAGGAAGACCTGTGGTATCTGCCCCTGGGTCAAGGGAATTGCCCTCTGAATCAGGTTAGGAGTGGCAGAGGCATTGTTAGAGTCACACTTTCATGGTGAGCTGGAATCAGGTTACCTGGTTTCAGGGCCCAGCTTTTTTACCATGGTTTCTTCATCAGAGAAAAAGGATGTTTTCAGTGGAGTATCTTCATAAGACCTTGAGGGAAAGTTGGTAGAGAGAGGATACAGGACTCCTCTGAGGAACAGCAATGCCCTTAGAATAATGCAGCCTCAGAAGGGGCCGCCCTTGAGGAGCATAGCACTCCTGGATATTGTGTGTCAGGCGTCTCTTGAAGACATTTACCCCAGTGGTTAGGTACATGGATTCTCAAGCCAGGCTTCCTGAGTTCAGTCCTGGTTCTGTTATTTCCCTTCTCTGTTCCTCAGCATTCCCAAATGTAAATAGGGTAATAGCAGCAGCAAACTCCATGGGGTTGTAGTAGGGATTAAATGAGTGAATAAGTTAAAGATGATTAGAAGCAATGCTTAGCAAATGTGTAACAGATGCTATTTTAAAAATCTTAAAGTGTGATTGCCTTTTATGGTAAGTTCCAGAGGTGAGACCTTGTCATATATACTACTGAATCCATGCAGTGCCCAACCAGAACCTGTCCTAAGCAGGTGTCCAGTTATTTACTGGATGAAATACTGAAATCTACAACTTCCCTAGTTTATGTGTTCATCAGCAGGGAGCTAAGGCCAATAAACATGTTCCTCTTTCCCTAGGAGTAAAAACCCTCTCACAGTTCCCCTAGGGAATCATTCCTTTCAGTTCAACACAGTCCAAATTTCAACCATTAAAGTAACTCGTTCCTTTGACTTAAGATGTTTTGCTCCTGAGGCCTCATCAGTCCTCCAAGCCTGAGTGTATCCAATTCCTCCTGAGCAGGGTTTTTGACAGGGGTGATGGGACACTTGTTTGCCAGTTGGGAGGAGGGGTAGAAGATGGGAATGATGCTGAATTATGCAGGTGATTTATTTTGAAGGGGGATCTTAATGACTTGGCAGCATTGCTCAGAGCTCACCTTGGTGCGGGTGGGATATCTTGCTGAAAGACACAGTAATTAGGACCTGGACATGTAGATTGAACTATCTTTGTTTTTTATCTTTTCTTTTTTTGAGAAAGAGACTCACTCTGTCGCCCAGGCTGGAGTGCAGTGGCTTGATCTCAGCTCGCTGCAAACTCTTCATCCTGGTTTCAAGTGATTCTCCTGCTTCAGCCTCTTGAGTAGCTGGGATTACAGGTGCCCACCACCACGCCCAGCTAATTTTTGTGTTTTTAGTA
Source organism: Homo sapiens (assembly GCF_000001405.40). Lineage (NCBI taxonomy): Eukaryota > Metazoa > Chordata > Mammalia > Primates > Hominidae > Homo > Homo sapiens. The sequence goes on from NC_000003.12 coordinate 124,187,265, forward strand.
GAGGCGGGGGTTTCGCCATTTTAGCCAGGCTGGTCTGGAACTCCTGACCTCAGGTGACCCACCTGCCTTGGCCTCCCAAAGTGCTGGGATTACAGGTGTGAGCCACCATATCTGGCCTGGGTATGTCTTTATTGGCTGTGTGAGAACAGACTAATACACCATCCAAACACAGGGCATATGTCAGGAAGGTGAGGCAAGGATCTTCAGCAGCTGTTCAGTCTCTATTGGCAGAAGTCCCTAAGCCTCTGGTATGAAAGGCCATCTTCACCTAAGTTTCTATTCCCCTGGAGATTTGGGTGCTGTGGGGAGGGGCAGAGAGGAGAGAGGCCATGAATGGCAGAGTAATCAGCCAGGAGAAACCCAGTTGTTTCTGAAAGTATCTTTAGCAAGGTGCACATGGATTGATGGATAGATGAACTATAAATGGATTAATTAGAGTGCCAAGGTGAAATAAAAGAAAGGGAACAGGCCAATTAAGTCTACAATGTGGGGGTAGATTTCTGTTGTAAGTGATTATTAGAGAGTTACCAGGTGGGGAGAGATTTTAAGATTCATATTTGAAGGAGGAAGACTAAATGGCTTTGTTGAAGGGCAATTAGGATGTTTGAGCAAAGGAATATTAGGGAAAAGTCCTCAATATGTGCATTTTCACCTGGTTACTGTCCCAGTAGGGTAGATAAACTGGAAGTCCTCAACCCTGACTGCAAATGGAATCTCCTAGGGAAACATTTTAAAAAACCCCAGAAATGAAGCAAACCAACAACATACAAGCAAACAAAAAACCCACGTGTGGGCCCTACTCTAGAACAATTATTGAGACTCTTCAGGCTGCAGCCAGGCATTATGTTTTTATGTGCAGCTAGAGTTGAGCCCCCAGCATTTAGAACAAACTTAAACGTACGCAAGAATCACCTGGGGCACTTTTTAAAAAATGCAGATTGCTAGGCCTCACCACCAGAGACTCTATTCAGTAGGTCTGGGGTTGGGGGAGGAGTCTGCATGTTTTAAAAGGTCCTCAGATAATTTAGATTCTGCAGTAGAGATATTGGATTAGAGGATGTGAACATTCCAGACAGCAAGAAAATAGTCATGAGGGGTGCGCAAGGGTGGTGGAGGAGAGAAGCTCTGTAGGGAAAAGGACATTCCTGAAAAGATTTCCCTTCAGAGCAAAAGCTGCTATCATTAATATCATTATCCCCTCAGCATGGCTGGTTCTGACAGAAATTGGTGTCTAGCACCCAGATTACTCACTTAATTACATTTATCTTCAGCGTCTCTTGTAATGTGCCAGCACAAGCAGTGGGTCTTGTAATTAAGAGTATGATAGAAGGAAGTACTTTGGATAGGGAGAATGAGAGGGGCTGGAGCAGGTGTTTCAGAGGGGAGGCATGTATACTCTATTACCTGATGTCAAGAACTGTAAAGTGTCAAGGTCTGAGATTTACCCTACCTGCTAGCTAACAAGTTAGCCTGCCACAGTTTCATGGATGCTGGCAGAAGTTATGAGACTCCTGGATCAGAGACAAAGGACTTAATGACTCACAGCAAAGCAGGCAGCATGAACTTTAGCATATTTGTATTCGTACTTCTTACCCCCAAGTCCCACAGTAGCAATGCAGAGGGGCCCAGGTAGATGCTGCGCGTGCTGTGGGTTTGCATTATAGTTGAGGAACTTTGAGCTTAGGAAATTCCAGTTTTTACAAGAGGCTACAAACAAATCTGCTTTGTCCTGGGGCGGAGGCATTATCTTTCTTATACTTGTCAGTAAACAAATCTGCCCTTTGCCTCAGAGGGAAACAATATCTCTGTCTTCCAAGTCTGTTCACTATATGAACATCCTTGGAAAGATAATCTGGAACAAAAGCTATCAGGGTCTCGCTTATAAGATGTGCAGAAATGTCAGAGACCGTGGAGAACTGTCTCCCAACATTTAACATCTAAGGTCTTCCAGCAGTGGAAGCTATCCACCTCTTCTCACTATGTACCACATGTTCCAGGGAAGATTGAACATGCCAGTTAGTTTTGGTATGGAGTGGAGAGTGTTCTGAGACACTAATAAAGTACTTGTAAACATCGAAGTCTGCAAGTGTTGCTGTTGTGTGTGATGTCAGCTCATACCTCAGAACATGCAATGGATTCCAGGAGTTTTGAAAAAGGGACATGAAGGCAGCAAGTGGAAATACCCCTCTCTCTGACCATCAATTCTTGACTCTGGAGGTGTCATATATGCAAGAGTGTGTAAAAAGCAACATAGAGGGCCAAGCAAGGTGGCTCATGCCTGTAATCCTAGCACTTTGGGAAGCCGAGGCGGGTGGATCACCTGAGGTCAGGCGTTCAAGACCAGCCTGGCCAACATGGTGAAACCCTGTCTCTACTAATAATACAAAATATTAGGCCAGGTGCGGTGGCTCATGCCTATAATCCTAGCACCTTGGGAGGCCGAGGCAGGTGGATCACAATGTCAGGAGATTGAGACCCTCCTGGCCAACAGGGTGAAAACCCATCTCTACTAAAAAATACAAAAATTAGCTGGGTGTGGTGGCATGCGCCTGTAATCCCAGCTGCTCAAGAGGCTGAGGCAGGAGAATCACTTGAACCCAGGAGGCAGAGGTTGCAGTGAGCTAAGATTGCGCCACTGCACTCCAGCCTGGCAACAGAGCAAGACTCTGTCAAAAAAAAAAAAAAAAAAGCAACATAGAAGCGAGAATTTATAGAATGAACTTTTAAACAGAGCTTCACAGTTCACAAAGTACTTTACCAAGCGACAATTATTTCTCCATTTTCTGTATATAGGCACTGAAGAATGTAGGAAATGAGACTAATTAGAAGCAGGTCAGATCCCACTTACTGCAGGAAGCAACTCTTGAACAGGGCTGAAAGACAGCAAAGGACTAGGATGAAGAAGAGAAGGGAAGGAAAGAACAGAGGACATTCGGATAGGCAAAGAATAGTGTGAAAGCCCAGAAGCTGAAACAAGCAGGGAGCTTCGTATGGCTGGCCCCCCACTGCTCCCCTGAACCCTTCTAGGGCCTCTGATGTTCTCCCCAGTGGAGTTATATGTCTGAGCACCATCATTTATCCTCAAGACCCTACCTTCCCCCTTCCCACCATCACTATTTCTGCATTCATCTGTGGGCATTGGAGCACAATCTTAATTGAGCCTGGGGTTTGACCAGATTGCCACTGAAGACTGCCAGAACACTAGCCAGGCGTTTCATTTATCTATTTCTGACCCCAAGACATGGTGGCATAAACAACCACCATTTTATTATGCTCATAATTTTGCACCGCAAGAATTCAGGCAGAGCACAGTGAAGATGACTTATCTTTGCTCCACAATGCTTGGTACCTTAGCTGAGATGGCTCTAACAGTTGGAATGGGTGGGAAAGGTGTATTAGGGCCATATGTAGGGGGCTTTAGTTCTGTCTGTAGTTACAGTAGAGATAGGAAAATGAAAATGTTTTTCCTAGTCTCAAACAAACCATGCAACACAGAAAAAGGTGTGGGGATTTCTCCCCACCAGCAGCCAATCAGTTCTTCAGCAGACACCAACTGGGTGCCCTATAATTAAATTCAATTCTGACATTATCTACCTGGAGGCAGCATTGGATTCCACAGATTAAGGGCTTAGTCCCTAAGTGTCCCCAACTTCAGATACCAATCATCAGCCCCAGGTTGTGACCTGTGCTTCTGGCCAACCAGCTAAAAATTGGGGTTCGCATGATCCCCTCTTCAGATTCAGTTAATTTGCTGGAGTGCCTCAGGTAACTCAGGGAGACATGGTTTACCAGTTTATTATAAAAGATACTAAAAGGATACAGAGAAACAGCCAGATGGAAGAGATGCACAGGGCAAGGCATGTGGGAAATAGTTTCTATGTCATTTCTGGGTGTGCCACCCTTAAGGAACCTCCACATGTTCCACTGTCCAGAAGCTCCCTGAGGCAGTCCTTTTGGGCTTTTTATGGAGTCTTCATTGTATAGGCACGACTGACTAAATCACTGGTTATTGATGATCAACTTAACCTTTATTCCCTCTCCCTGCCCCACTCCTGAAGTTGCAGGATGGGGCTGAAAGTCCCAACCTTCTAATCATGCTTTGGTCTTTCCAGTGGCCAGCCCCCATCCTGAAGCTGCCTAGGGGCCCCCAGCCACCAGTCATCTTGTTAGCACACAAAAGACACTATCACTTGAGAGATTCCAAAGGTTTTAGGAGCTGTATGTCAGGAGGTAGGACAAAGACCACATATATTAATATTTCCACAATATCACAAGCTGCCTTCTTTTTCTCCCCCTACATTGTGTCTGCTGGGGCTGGAATGTCTAAGATGGTTTTTTTAATACCATATCTGATGCCTGGGCAGGAACAGTTGGGCTGGCTATTTTTCTTTCTTTGTTTTTCTCTCTCTGTATAGTCTCCCTACATGGCTAGCTTGGGCTTCCTCACAGCATGGTAGTCTCAGGGTAGCCAGACTTCCTATTTGGTGGTAGGCTTTTCCAAATGTGAATGTTTCAGGGGCACTGGGCAGAGGCTGTAAGGCTTTAGGAGTCCCAGAATGTCTCTTTTACTCCATTCCATTGGTCAATGAAGCCACCACAGCCAATCTAGATCCAAGGGAATGGGAATTAGACTCTGTCTTTTAATGGGAGGACTAGGGAACAATTTGTGGCCATTTTTAATCTACAACACTAGGTCTGGGCAGATCAAACCATATCTCCAGGTGAAGGGCCTGGGAACCTGTGTGTTCAACAAGTGACCCCCTAGGGGACTACTGTTATCAGGAAAGTTTGGGAGACACTGGTTGGTATAGGCTGAATTTTGTCCCACCTAAAATTCATATGTTGAAGCCCTAACCCCCAGTACCTCAAAATGTAACTATATTTAGAGAAGAGGCCTTTAAACAGGTGATTAGAGTGAGCCCTAATCTGATATGATTGGTGTCCTAGTCATTTGCAACAACATGGATGGAACTGGAGGCCATTATGTTAAGTGAAATAAACCAGGCACAGAAAGACAAATATCCCATGTTCTCACTTATTTATGGGATCTAAAAATCAAAACAATTAAACTCATGAACATAGAGAGTACAAGGATGGTTACTAGAGGCTGGGAAAGGTAGTAGGGGGTTGAAGGGAGCGGGGAGGTGGGAATGGTTAATGGATACAAAAAATTAGAATGAATAACAACTGCTATTTGATAGTACAATGGGGTGACTATAGTCAATAATAACTCAATTGTACATTTTAAAATAAAGAATATAATTGAATTATTTGTAACTCGAAGGATAAATGCTTGAGAGGATGGATACCCCATTCTCCGTGATGTGCTTATTTCACGTTACATGCCTGTATCCAAACATCTCACATACCCTGTAAATAATATGCACCTACTATGTACCCACAAAAATAAAAATAAAAAAGGGGATATTGTACCTACAAAGAGATACCATGGATGTGTGTGCACAGAGGAGAGGCTGTAGAAGGACACAGCAAGAGGCCGGCCATCTGCAAACCAGAGGCCTCAGAAGAAACCAAACCTGCTGACACCTTTTAATCTTGGACTTCTAGTTTCTAAAACCATGTAAAATAAATTGCTGTTGTTTAAGCTACAGTCTGTGGGGTGTTTTGTTATGGAAGCCCTAGCAAAGTAATACACTGATACCATGAGTTAACTATTAAACTAGGCATTGTTTGCCTTGAGTTAATTACATATGCATAAAACTTACATTCCCCAAAAATTGTCAGCATATGTACTTCTATTCTTTATTGACCTGACCTAGAATCTATCTGATATTTGATCTAATGTTTACTTGCTTCCTGTTGGTCCTGGGCCTGTTTGCCTTCAGATCCATCCCAACTTCTGTCCTGCCATTTTGCAGGGTGCCAACCCCTGTAGACTGCATTTCCCAGGCTCCATGAAAGTTGGCTGCTGGCAGAGTTTAGCCAGCGGAAAGCCCTGTTGGGAGATTGAAGAGTGGAAAGAAAGCGGGGAACTGGAGTATCCTTCCTCAGCCTCTCTCACTCCCACATTTTTATGGGTGAAGAAATGAGGCTCAGCTGTCCTGGTTCCAGCTTCCATGGTATGACCCTGGTTCCTGGTCATCTCTGGGCTTTTTCTACATTCTTACTCTCTTTTTAGCTCTCCTGTCATCTGGATAAGCTATTTCCTGAATTGAATCTAGTATGTTTTTAATTCTTAGTATGATTTTTGTTTTTCTGGGTGGACCCTGAAAGATGTACTCTTTTAATATTTTCTCCTAATTTAATGAACCACTTAACACTTCCCTATTTCCAAGTTCACTCCTACTATACTCCTTTCTACATATACAATCAAATTTAATGTTCATTCTGGAATTTCTTTAAACTACAACTTATGGCATTTCCAAAAGAAAGACACAAAACTAAATGAAAAAATAGCCATCTTTCAGAGTCCAACCTGCCAGTGATGACCCCTCTTTAACCTTTGGTATATGCCCTCGAGTCTTTGTTTCACTTTTTTCTTTAATATATTTTCCCTAATATTTTTTGCAATTTTACATAGTTTGAGCTCACAAAGTATATCTATTTTTGCATCCAGTCTCTTTTAGCTTGACATTTTATCATAAGCATTTCCCTATTTTTTTAAGAACTCTTTATAAGTATCATTTTTAACTTGTGAAAGGAACTAAAAAGGTAGAATTAGGGAGGATTCTGACTTATGAAATTCTGTACTCCAAAAAGAGTGTTCCAACTAGGCTTTGCATCTGTATCTCTCAAACTAGTTGCTCAACAGATATTCACTGAGTGCTTACAGTAACCCTGGTATGGTGGGAGAACTGAGGGAAGAAACCATCTGGGGACAGAGACTGGTTAGGAAGCCAAGAGAACACCTATGAAGCAATTAGAGAGCAAGAGAAGGTTTCCAAAAAATTAGTTGCTAGGTGGAGTGCTCCAGACAATGAGTATAATAAAAGAGCAGAAGAGGGAGCGATCGATGTGGGCTGGACTTGTCCCCAAAAGTCTCTTCCTGTGACATGATCTGAATAGTGAGTGAACCATGGGCAGGATTCTGGTAGGTCTGGAGGAGACGGAAGGAACTCCAGGGTTAGGAGGCTTTGGTGTCAAGCATACCTGGGTCTTAGTTCTGGCTCTGTCATCTTTACTAGTTCTGTGATGATAGACAAGTTACGAGCCTCCCGAGGCTTCAGTTTCTTGGTGGTAGTGATAGAACTACCTACTGCATGGAATGAAATTCTGTAGTCAGAAGAGTTCAATCTTATTTCTTCCTACAAGGATTAAACATTCCCCCAGGTGAGGATGGAAATGAATAACTTCCATGTAAACACTTGCTATGGATTATTAACTATAGCTAAAACTCCATTTTCATGTTACTGAAAGCATAAATGGCTTGCCCTACTAAGACAGGGGAAGTTAGTATCTGAGTTAGTATTTGAAGGTGTATCTCCTGGTGCAGCTCAACCCAAGGGCACTGAGCCCTCTCCCAGTGCTCCTTGTATGCCAGGTACTGCCAGAGCCCTTGGATCCGTGTGGTTTCTCAGATTTCAGCTTGGCCCTGTTCCCTTTCTGGGTGGGCCCTTATCTGCTGTTCCATGAGAAAAGGGTTGCATGCTGAGGAGAAATGAAGTATGTTTGCTAAGGACACCTATTTGAGGACTCTGAGCTGGTAGACCTGAGTTTTAGGAAGAGAAGGCAGTGATGGTAGGTATAGGGGGGATGGGAGAATGACAAGTATGAGAACATTTATATGTAATTGTTGCAAATATTATAGGCCTGGTACAAGTGTCTGTGGCCCCAAATACCTTTGGAATCTGTTTGCAAAGTTGGCTTATTACTACTAGCAGAGATTTGGGGAAAAGAAGTAATGAAGAGGGAGAAACCACATACACTCTTTCAGAGGGTGCAAAGACATTTTTACTATAGCCCCTCATTAATGAACTTCTCTCCTGGAGGTTAGCCAAGCTGATGGGGGCTTGCCAGACCTCACAAGGCCTCATTCCTCCTTCCACAGATGAACTTACCTTTCTTAAGACCTCCTATGAGACCTACCTCTTGGGATGCTGCCTTTGCTAAACTGATAGGTTGCCAGCTCCTGTGTTGGAAGGATCAAAGGATGGAGCATGTACAAGTACTTTGTTACTGGTGGGGAAAGGGTCCTGAGGAGCTGGGTCTGACTTTCTAAGAGCCATAATAAAGCATGTCCACATTTGTGGCACTTCGTCCTGAGGCTCCCGTGTGCTGTCAGGGTGAGAGGAGGGAAGAAATCTTTTTCCCCTCCTCCTCAAGGGCCATGTAGAATCACCTGTCTTATCCAACCTGCCCTAAAAGGGGAAGGTCTTGAAATAGAGAACCTCACTGAACCATGCCCCTGGATTCTATGGGCATAGAATTGGCTCCACAAGAGCCTATCTTTGCTTCCACTCTCATCTACCTCTTGACTCCATTGTTTGGATAACAATGAGGAGCTGAGTTTAGCAGCTGAACATGGGGTGCTTTGTCCATGTTTCTGCACAAAAGGACAGCTGCTGAAGTCTGCAAAGGCCTGCCTACCTGCCAGAAATCTAATTTCAGACGCTTGCATCAAACTCACCTGCACTCTAGTGCACTTCTATAATTGTTTTGGTTCTTGTCAAAAGCGCTCTTTTGCTTTGGGAGAAGGAAGAAATTCACAGAGGGAAAGGGGGAACACCAGGGATCTTTCATCACCGACTTTGTCCTCAGGGCTTGGAACTCTTTCCCCAACTGTCCACTCTGAATAATGGGAATAAATGGGAAAGGATTAGGGTGTTTTCCGTGACCCCACTTGTCTTAATTGAGAACCCCTAGAATTGCCCCTCAGTGATGTTTGCACAATGTACATGATCCCCTCTGATTATTGTGGCCAAAGCAAGCATCCCTGATTTATCATTTAATTCCTGGCCCTTATTAGGTTGTCTATCTTAGTCTCAGACAAGCTGCAGGTGGGGTCTTTTTCAGGTTCACTGCTGAGGTTGTTTTAAAGGCCAGTTGGGTATGTGAGGGCTCTGAAAAAAAGTGAGGTGCTCTTCCCATGAGAAGTCTTACTGCTGTTATTACAGATAATATAATAATAATGGGGACTGCTGCTGCCATTTCCTAGATTGGAGAGGCTCAGATCCTGGATCACAGACAGAAGAAGAGAGAAGGGCAGGGTGGAGGAGGGGCAGCAGTGACAGCCAGGAATTTTTTATAAGCTCATATCAAAGAAATTCCTCAGGAACACATTTCCCTTAGAGCTTTTTTTGGCTGCATTGAAGTTGGTCTTTCTTTTCTTCATTTCTGAGGGCAAAAGTAGTTTCCTATTCTTCTTGGCTACTTATTTCTAAATCTTCATTTTGTTTTCTTGATCATCTAAATACATACACACATATATATGACAAAAATAAAGCGTACACACTTTATAACCTTTTTAAAACCTAAACACATTGTTCATGAACATCTTTCAATGTTGTTACATTTCTGGAAATTACTTTTAATGACACAATAGTATTCTGTCTTATGGCTGCATCTTGATAATGGCAGTACTACTAATAGCGAATGTTTATTGAGTGATTTCTTGTTCTACAGTTATCTAGGAATATATCAAGCCCTGTACTAAGTAATAATACTAGGAGGCAGGTGCTATCATTATGCTCATTTACAGATGAGGAAATGGAGGCTTAAATAATTTAAGTAATTTTCTAAAAGTCACACAATTCTTGAGTGGTAGAGTTGGGATTTAACCTAAGCATTCTGATTTCAGACCCTACACACCCAACAATTATGCTATGCTACCATCATTTATTTCACTACTCTCTTAGTGTTGGACATTTTGGATTTTTTTTTCATTTAAAAAGATTGCAAACCCTGTCGTTTACCCTTTGCATACATCCATAATGATTTTCTTGACTAGATTTGCCTTATATAATTCTGTCTTTGAATAACATGGTAACTCCAGACTCCTAGCATGTTAAACTTTGTCTCTGTATTCTATATTGTAAGTTTTTATTTGGTTTCCTGAACATCCATGATGCTGGGGAGAAGATGCTTACTTTCTGCAGGTGCATTATTCAAGAGCAGCCCTCTTGCTAATCAAGCCCTTGCTTCTGGCCTCTGGAAGCAAGCCTTGTGTGCTACTTATAAACAAACACCCAGAACACAGTCTTCTCCTTCTTCTTAGTTTATCCTGTTTTCATTTTATCTTGTCTCGTAGATCCCAGATTCTACCAAACCACATCTTGCCTTCATCCTCAGCCTTGATCCTTCTAGCTAGAACACTTTTCCGGTTGTGGGCAAGAACTTTCCCACACGTTCTCTGCCTGGTTCACCCTCCAGCCCAACCTCAGTGTCTCTTGTGGACATCTTGTAAAGATAGACCATTCTAATGCTGTTTCCAAGGGGCTGCCACTTGCTCCAGCCCTTTAGCAGGGACGTGACAGGCAGGGCTTGTCCTCTGCCCTGACCACAGACCCTATACTGCTGTGCATAGGGAGGGATTTATCAGGAGCCTTCCTATCTGTTTTTCTTGCAATGCAGTTCATCTAGAAATGTTCCTTCTATCTGCCAGGTAATTGTCCTCGTCATATCTCCAAACATGCCCCCTGCATGTTCTTTTCTGTCCCCACCTTCAGCTGCTCTCCGATGGTTTCCACCAGAATGCTACCCACAGCTCTCTTATGGTGCACACTTAGTGATTCAAATGACTTCCATGGATTCATTCTCTGGACCCATATGCAATTCTCCAGGCACTGTATGATTTTTAAAAAACAATACCACATTTATACAGACCCAGAGAGACAGACATATAACAATGAGGTATTACTTCTCTTTTTAGCTAGATTTCTGATCGAGGAATTAAAAGCTTCGTGCTAAATGGGGAAAGAAGGGTAGATTTTGGATGGCAAGAGGAACTTTCCCTTGCTTACTCCTAGAGGTCATCTAACCTTGGGAAGTCTCTGGAGTGTGGTGCTGAGAAAAGCAGACATGGACCTTGGACAACACTGGGTTTGATTCTGCACTCCATAACTCATGATTTGTGCAACACAGTCAAGTTTCTTAACTTCTTTAAGCCTGATTTTTCTCATCTGAAATTGGGATAATAGCAACTTAAGTTTATTGTATTAGATTTCCAGAAAATGCGTGTCAAGTCCTTTGCCTTTCCACAGCTTGCCGCACAGTAAGTGCTCAATATTGTTTTCATTAAAGGCTTCTGAGGTGGGAGGGCTCAAAGAGACAATTTGTGTTCTCACTGTTGCAAATGCTTCCCTGAGGGGAGGATAAGCTGGGAGCTGCCTGGCTGAGCTACCAGGGGCTTCTCCCAGGGAGGGCAACATCCCTCAAACAAAAGTTCATGACATCCTCTTGATAAGGAGTTCTTATTCTGGGTTCATGAGTGAGCTTTTTTGGAGGTCCATTCAGCTCCTATAATTGCATGGAAATTTTGTGCATGTATGTATACATGCAATTTACGAAGACAAAAGTCTGTGGCTTTCATCAGATTCTGAAAGGGGTCACTGACTCTAGAGAGGTTAGGAATCGCTGCTCTAGAAGCTCCTTTGGCTCCTGCATTGTTTTCTTCCATCAACAGTGGCTGCGGACTATACTGGGCAGGAATGAGGGATCCAGAGCAGAGGCTGGGAATGGATCATGGGGCCTCAGCCAGAATCTGGAAGTACCAGGAAGCCAGAGGCCCAGATTGTGTGATCGGTCAGTGCTAGGAGAGAGTCAGGAGCAAGGATGGGACAGGTACCAGGGATCAAAGTAAGGCATGCTGCAGACCTAAGGAGGCTAAGGAAAGGCCTGAAAGGCTAGAGATAGGGAGACTTTGAAGCCGAGGCCAGGCTGCCTGTTTCACTGCTGAACTGAGTTCCTGAGTGGGAGACACAGGTTGGAGCATTGATACTGCAGTGCATGCCTGACATTCACTCTTGCTGCTTCCAGTCTAGGCTTCTTCCCATTTCCCTTTCCTCTGCTTTATTTGCACCAAGAATTCTCCCTGCCAGGGCTCCAGAGCCCATTCTCCTCAACTTCTCACACACTCCACACCACCCCAGAAATGCAGAAAGATCTTTCCCAATGCCTTAGACCTCTGGCTCCTTGGACTCTTGCATCCTAAAGAGTTTCTGGATTTGTGTTGAACAGCCCACATTTTGTCCTCCCTGGGATCTGTGGAGTCCTAAATTGGGCACCCACAGGAGAGTGACAAGCTAGTTTCCTTTTATACTCTGGAGAGGGAAAAAAGAAATGTAACAAGAAGGATTGATGTTTTGCATTCATTTATTCAAATAATTTTTATTAAGAAGTTACATATGCCAATCACCATGCTAAATGCTGAGAAAATAATACTGAATTAGATGCAATCCTTTTTTCTTAAAGAGTAAAGGATCTTGTGCAGAAGTCAGAACAGTGGCCGGGCAATTACCATGCAGCGATCTAAGTGCTCCATTGGAGGGGTATGTGGCTAGCCTGAGCAATATGAGCCTGTACAGCAACACACATCAGATGGGTAATTGTAGAAGCTTTAGAGAATGTCAAGATCTGTTTCAGCTGTTTGAGGTGGGTGGAGTGAGGCAAGATAGACAAGATGGCCACTGGAAGGCATCATCTATTATTGGATTTGGTTTTTTAGTACCTCTTGTGGGTGAGTTTTGATAGAGCATCCTACCAAGATGCATGTTCTTTTGGCAAGAGTAAGAGGTTCCTGAAAAGGTTTTTCAACCTTCTCTGGTATTTGCCAGATTCCCCATGACCGATCCTCTTCTGCATATGTCTAAATTTTGAAATGGGAAACTAGCATCATAAACAGGAAGGTGGGTGGCTGCAGCAGTGGCTGCAAAACTCAGGTATGCAGTGTGAGAAGATGGTCAGTGGTGTAATGAAAAAAGTACTGGGTTGACAGTAGAAAACTGGGTTCCTAACCTGGTGCTACCACTAGTAAGCCGTGGAATATTTGGTAAGTAACTTCTTTCTGAGCCTCTCCCTCAACTTATAAATGTGGAATAAATCGTCTCTGCTGTCTTAGTTCATTTGGGCTGTTATAACAAAATACCATAAACTGGGTGGCTTACAAACAACAAACCTTTATTTCTCATAGTTCTGAAGGCTGGGAAATCCAGGATCAAGGTGCCTGCAGATTCAGTGTCTGGCGAGGGCATGTTCCTCATGAATAATGCCTTCTGTGTGTCATGGCAGCAGGGGCAAATGGGCTCTCTGGGGTCTTTTTTAAAGAACACTAGTCCCATTCATGAGGGCTTTGCCCTTAGGACCTAATTATCTCCCAAAGGCCTATCTTTAAATACCATCACGTCGTACTTAGAATTTCAACATATAAATTTGGGGCAGGGGGACAGAAACTTTCATTCTGTAGTTCATGCCTTAGAGAATTGTGGTGAACAATGCATGAGAGAATGCATGCAAAAGTGACTCAGCATGTTACATGGGAGGGGTTACATCTGGGAGCCTGAGAGGCTTTTCTAAGTCTGGGGTATATTTTTTTCACAGCTTTTCACATTGAGAGAGCAGAAATTAAGAGCCACCCTACACCATCCCTCTTGGGAGGGTGGTGTAAGTGTCCTTTTGATTTGTGAATCCGTATGTATGGCATAGATAATGCAGGTTAGTGTACTTAATATCTATTCCAAAAACCTCTTTCCTTCCTTTATTATCAAGGATAGAGAGTGAAATACTTAACTTCCCAGCTTCCCTTGGCACTAAGGAAGATGTGACACAATTTTGACTATTGATATACAGGCACAAGCCAATGGGTGATCTTCTCTTCCTAAATAAAGGTAAAGCCATCCAAAGAAAAAGCTATTTGCTTTTCACCCTCCTTCCTCCCTAGAATGGGGATATGATGCCAGGAGATTCTGCAGCCATCTTGTGACCAAGAGACAAAGGCCACGTATAAGACAACAGCCACCATTGAGGCAGCTCTGGAATGCCAGGTCCAACCTCTTACTTAAGACAAATAAGCACCTTACTTGTTTAAGCCATTATGGTAGAGCTTTCCGTGACTCTCTGCCAAATCCTAATGTAGGATTCTGAAGTCTGGGAAGTCCCGGCTGAACTTGGGCTCAGAAGCTGGTGGAGATGCTGCATGGTGCAGGCCATCCCTTCCTTGCAGGAGGAACAATGGCTGTCCTTGACTCCATCTGGCTTAGCTCCTGGTCACTCCAGTGTCTTGGCACTTCCCCTGGAGGACTGGAGCTTTGTGTGTGTTTTCTTTTTTAGGAAATAAGAAAACATCACTAGTATTCAGAAATTTTCCCTTCCTGAAATAGAATCCTTTGGAAAAAAAAAGGATTTAAAATGCTGTTCTCGTCAAAAAACATTTATAAAGTCTTGGTGTATGGTGGCTATGCTGTGGTCTGTACAGGTTGATGGATGTGATCTCCATCCTCCTAGAGCTCCTTGTGGGAAGGCAGATGTGTAGACCTCCCCCTGGGTGCTCCTAATCTAATGGAGGACACTGAGCATAAACAAGTGATAGACCTGGGAGTGTTTGCTTTTTGAGAATGTTTAACTTTTGAGGACTTATAAATTAAGTCTATAAATGCAGCTAAGGGAGTGGTTCCTGTCTTGGGGGAGAAGTGGCTTTTACTTGGGCCACATCTATGTCTCTAGCTAGGTTTGGCCCTTGGAGCCCTGACCAGCAGCTGCTGAAAACGAGGCTCATGCACTCAGCAGTCTGGGGCCAGCTGGAGCCCTGTGATGGGGCCAGGCTGGGCCAGATGCTGGGGCGGAGTGGGAAGCACTTCTTGTCACATCTAATCAGTCCCACTTCTTCCTGTCTCCTACCTCCCTTCACTTGCAGGGGAAAGCACAGCAGCTTCAGAGCTAGCTCAGGTTGCAAGTATGAAATTTTATGTGCTTGGCATGTTTCATCTACATGGAAGTGATTTGGAAATTTTACATTAGGAAAAACATCAGCATGAAGATCTGGAAAGTTCCCTCTTTGTGTAGAGAAGTGGCAGCCACTTCACTTTAGTTTTTTTGTTTGTTTTGTTTTTTTGAGACTGGGTCTCACTGTGTCACCAAGGCTGGATTGCAGTGGTGCGATCACAGGTCACTGCAGCCTCAACCTCCCAGGCTCAAGCGATTTTCCCACCTCACCCTCCCAAGTAGCTGGGACTATAGGTGCGTGCCACCATGCCCAGCTAATTTTTGTATTCTTTGTAGAAATGGGTGTTTCACCACATTGCCCAGGCTGGTCTCAAACTCATGGGCTCAAGTGATCTGCCTGGCTAGGCCTCCCAAAGTGCTGGGATTACAGGTTTGAGCCACCGTGCAGCCTACCCTAGTTTTTTAATGAGAAGTCGGGTAACCTAATTTTCTTTGAACCCTCCCTCCTCCTCCTCCTCCTGGTCTCTTTTCCTTCACCTTCTGTGGGGCTCTCTATCCACCCTTCCAGCCTGCCTGCTCCATTTGTGGTATTTGCTTGTCCCTTCTGTGATTATTTCTTACAACAGATACAATGGGGGCCCTTCCACCATACTTTTGCTTCATCACCTTTTCTTCAAGACACACCTCTTCCCCTCTGGAGAGTACAAAATGTGATTCCCTTAATTCCTGAGAATCTTCTAGAGTCTCTGGAGCTCTCAATGCTGCTGTGGTCCTCTGAGGCTATCCTGCTGCCCTTCTGGCTGTCTGCATCTCATTTGCAGTGTGTCGTGCCAGCTGGCAGGCTGGGCCGTCAGCACTCTCCACTCGCAGCTTTCTTGTTTCCTTTCCTCCCTGACAGTTCTGGTGGTTGCTCAAGTTCCATTAATGTTTTATGTGCTGCCCCCAGGAACCTTGGTTGCAGTACTCTGGGGAAGTTCCCACTCCTCCTTCCTCCTCACTGCAGAACTTTGAGGATAGAGAGATCATTTGTTTCCCAGAAACCTGGTGTCATCGGTCATCAAGCTTCCAATTAGCTGAAACTCAGTGCAGCAGTTTGGGGTGCCAACATTCTCCCTGACCAGGGAGGGAAAGCTCCCAGGGACAGTGATAGTCTGGCTCGTTATCCCTGAGCTGAGAGTCAGCCTTCTCATTAACCCATTCTCCTGGGCTCTTCATTAGCACTTCTGACCAAGACAGGTTCTATTTGATTGTGCCCATTTGGTGGGGATGGAAATTAAGACCAAGGGAACCAGGAGGCTGGGTTTCAGGTCATGTAGTGAGTTGAGGGCAGAGCCAGGCTAAAGCTGATATCTTGTTTTCTGACTACTGGTGCTGTGATTAGCATCTTCTATTGTCCTCAGGGGACTGCTGGAGCCTGCCATGGGCTGCTGCTGGAAGAGAGAGGTTGGAGGGACCCAGGCAGCAGCTTCCATGGCTTTATACGTATTGCTTGGAATAATGTTCCCAAAGCCGAGTGATAAAGAAAAATAATAATAATAGGGCAATAACTAACACTGACCTCCTCTATGCCAGGAATTGTGATAGGTGCTTTCTGTCTTCCAGTAACCTACCAATTCAGGAGTCTTCCCATTTTACAGTTGAGGATTCTGAGACTCAGAGACATTAAGTAATTGCCCTCCAAAGGTAGCTAACAAATGGCAATTAGCCTTTCTACCTTACACTCAGAGTCCTGCTAGATCTATGTGAGCAACACGGGTTTGAATTGCGTGGGTCCACTTATACATGGATTTTTTCAACCAAATGCAAATTGAAAATACAATATTTGCAGGATGTGAAGCTCTTGTATATGGAGGGCTGTCTTTTCAAATATGTGAGTTCCATAGGGTCCTCAACTGCAGGACATGAGTATGTATTCTTGGGTTTTGGTATACGCGGAGGTCCTGGAACCAAACTTCTGTGTATACTGAAGGGCCACTGTAATTGCAACCTCTTCAAAAATGGGAATCCCCTGTAGATCTCTGTTCTAAGTATTTTTCTGTTCTCTGGCCAGTCAACCTTACATAGGTTTCTTCATAGGACCCTTTAATTGCCACAATTATTGTTTTGCTCTTATGCTTTTATGAGTCTGTTCATTATGCTTTTATGAGTCTGTTCAGCTCTGGCAAACACAATTCTTTAGACTCATTGAATCTAAATATAAATGTAGATACCAAATTTTCTACTTTTAAAAATCTTCTAAACCAAATGGGATGATCAGCCAGGTTTAGGAACAAACTGCTGTGGGCTACAAATTAAAACACTAATTTCTTTATTTTTCACATGGGGATTATTCTCCACATGTGGAGTGTTTACTTTAAAAGAAAAAGAAATGAATGCAGGCTTACTGCCTGTAACCACTCCATAAGCTTCTATGCTCCTTTCTCCAGATATTGGATTGGTGCATACTCATCTAATTAAGATGCACTTTGATTCAAGAAGTTAAATGTTGTGTAGATCAAAGAAAAAAATTCCAGTCATTTATCTTTGGCTTTGGAATTCATCATGTGATTTTATCTTCAGCTTTGGATTATCTGTGCTGCTGCATTAATGTGCTAACTGCACGTTTTTCTTTTTTTAAAATAATCCCTGTTTTAGAATTTACCTCAAGGGACCTGTGATGCCTCCCCCATCTCTTAGTTTAAAAACTAAATCTCTAAGGTCTTTCTTTCCAAAGCTGTCCTCCGCACTGCTCCAGAATTTAACTGCCTCCCCACCTAAAACTAGTATTTTCTTTCCAAATTATTTCTTATCAGCTTATTAGGAGAACTCCTCATGGAACTGTC
Source organism: Homo sapiens (assembly GCF_000001405.40). Taxonomy (NCBI): domain Eukaryota; kingdom Metazoa; phylum Chordata; class Mammalia; order Primates; family Hominidae; genus Homo; species Homo sapiens. The sequence goes on from NC_000003.12 coordinate 124,204,922, forward strand.
AGAAGGTTGAGCTGTGTTAAGGGAGACATACTTCTTCCTCATTCCCTTGTGTCTTTGTAACATTTGCTTTTACTGTTTCAAGTTTTTGTTTGCAAAGTCTGCAATCCAGGAATTATTTCCTTATTATTGGTCCTGAAATTCCAACAAAACAGCGTCAGGACATAGTGTTGCCTTGCCATACTGGTCCAAATAGGAAGGCATAGTCAGTGACGTGCTGGCAATGTTTCCAGGGAAGAATAAAAGCCCTGGTTGTGGTGTTTGTAACATTTGCTGATTTCTATTGTGTAAATACTCCTATCATAGCAGATTTCAAGCTACCAACCTGTTTAACAACGAGCTGGCAAAAATTCTGAAAATTACAATTAGTTCTCAGAAACCAGAACAAGCAGGCTCTAGCACACCACCAGGTGTAGATAACTGTTTTAGGGAGCACTCCAATCAGGTGTGATATTTTACACAAATGAAAATCGCTCTCGCAGCTCCTACTTGACAGTCGTGTGACCTTGGGCAAATCATTTGACTTCTATGAGCCTCAGTTTTCACATCTATGAAATGCAGACAATAATATCTATCTCATGAAATAATATGAGAGGATTTAATGAGGCAGTTACTATAATGGGCCTGGCATATGGTATGAAGCAAATGATTCTTCCCCTCCCTGAAATGCTAGAGACACAGAGTAGAAGATAGCGGGAGAGTTTTGAACTTTGGGTACCATTTAATGGAAACACCTACTGGAGGTTGGAGATGCAACTGGTTGAAAAACAAGGTCAAATATTTAGATTTGGGAATCAGAACAATAACAGTATAGTACCTTATGTTCATATCGCTCTCTAAAATTTACCTGATACTTTCACGTGTGTTTGTAAGAGGTGTGAGAGTGGAGGAACTCTTAGGGAGAAGAATGGAGGACCTGTCAAATCCCTGGCAGCTGGTATCTAAATTCTTCCAAGTTTTCCCCTCCCCTGTGCTCATTATTCTGTTTCTCTTTGAGTTCTCCTGCCGTTTTTGTACCTAGATCACTGACATATTCTTGTTGCTTTTAAAGAAACCATGTGTATTCTTTATAAAATACATTAACACCTGACATAAGATTTTGAGGTAGAGATAGAAAGCAATTTCTTCAGTCTCCACAGTTTGCCACCCTGATATTAATAAGAGAGTGTTCCCTGCTTATTGGTCAGCATAGGTTGATGGCTGTAATAACCAGTAAGTATCAGAGATCACGTAATAGAAGATTATTTCTTGCTCTTGTCATAGTCTCCTACAGATGTTCCTGGTTGATGACAACCCAGGACTTACCCTTTCTATTCAGTAGCTTTGCTCATAGGGCCTCAGAGTCCTCCACTGAACACTTTGCACCCAGCCATCCGAGGATAGATGAGAAGAGAGAATGTGGAGGACATACATGTGGGATGATTTTATGAGCCAGTCCTGGAAGTGGCATATGATACTTCTGCTCACCTTCCATTGACCAGAGCTCAGTCATACAACTGTTCCTAACTGCAAGGGCGGTTGGGAAATGTAACAGTCGTGTGCTTCAGAAGAGAGAATGAGCTTGGTAAGCATCTGGCCAATCTCTGTACCAACCTTATATGGATTGGTGGAAATAGTCACCACTATGGATATAGGTCAGTCCAGGTCACCAGAGACGACTTCTTGTGCTTATTGCATAGGGTTTTCTGGGTAGTGTTGCATGTTGAGAAATACAGCTTCATTCCCACAGTTAGACTAAGATTTCATCTAAGTTAGACTTATAGCATTACATGAGTTTCCAGGACTTTCCAGGACTAGAGTGCTTTGCTGAGTGTACCAGCTGGTTTTAGTCAACACTTGAAATTGGTAATAATATTTGCTGTTGTGTTTATAATTACCACATCATTAACAGTCAATGGGATGGGGAATTTCATGGGACTCTTCATTTCCATTTAGTCACTTATTATTGTCTAAAATGCCTCAGACAGTCTTCTGTGGATTGTTTTTGTCACTTGCCTACATGAAGAAGACTGATTTCCCACCTCAGAACATTGGCGTTGGCACTTTCCAAGGGGTTGGTAGAATGTCTGGCTGAGAGTGAAGGGACTATTGGGCTAGCTGGAAGAGGCAAGCAGCAGCAGTGAAATACATGGGATCCACTGGAACATCACAACAAACAAGAAGTTTCCCTCAGGTCAGCATCATCATCCAAGGTGAGGAGTCCTGCAAGGGAGAGTCACCAGAGTTTGCAAGTTGGGGGAGACATTCGGGATCAGGCTAGTCTGTGGTTCCACATTACTGGGCCATCACTCCATTCCTGGCAGGCCCCCAGGCAGTGACTAGCGGCACATAGACATCCTTCCCTCCTTCCCCTGCCAGGAAAGGGGTATGGCAAGGGATGGGCAAGGCCCTAAATAGACAGGTGGGGTTTCAGAGCACAGTGCTAGCTGTAAGTTGCTAATTATAGGGCTCAGCAGGAAACTGAGGTAGAAACCTCTGTCCTGTAACTCTCTGTCTTGTAACTGTCCCGAAACTCGGGGGCTGGGGATTCATCCCAGGCACATCAAACAGCGTGTTTGAGGCTGCACCAAACATGGCTATGTCCTAACCCTAAAGAGATTGAAGTTCTGGATATGTCCTATCCAGGGTGACTTGGGAGCTAGATGAGACAGATCTATATGTATGAGGCTTCATGCACAGGCTTTGGAATAGGATAGACCCATATTCAAATCCTGACTTTATCCTTTCCTAGCTCTATGACCTTGGGTGCATTATTTGCTTTCTCTGATCCTCAGTTTTTCATCCATAAAATGTGGGAAACAATATGTACCCCTTAGGGTAATTGAGAGAATTAAGCAATATAGATATGCAAAGCACTTAGGAGCCTGCACTTAGGAAGTAACCCTTAATAAATGGTAGCAAGCATCTACCACAAAGTCCCACGAAAGCAGCAAGAACAAAACAACAGTAAGCAGGCCTTGGGAAGGCAGGAGCTGAAAAGTGGGCTCATGTGATGCTTGATTGTGTTCTGTGAGGTAAGTGATCACCAGTGGGGCAGGGGTAACTTGGTCTGCCTGCTGGCTTTACCAGCTGGGCTTTCCACAGACATTGTTAACAGTGAGACTGGGTACACGCTTTCCCCCCCAGTTCAGTGTCCTTAAAATGGAAAGTAGAACTACTAAGTCAGCCCACATCCTGGCCATGCAGCTTCTTTGGTACTTTCCACCTCACCGCTTGAGGACCTGCGCTTTCTCCTGGCAGCCTGCAGCGTTATTATTACACATTGTCTTCTAACACGCACATATGTAACTAGAAGCACAAAGGTCCCTAAAATGGTAGGAAGGGGCTTTTCCTGTACTGGCACTCAGCCTCTAATGGCTGGAAGGTTGAACATAAATTGCTTTGACCTTGAGCTTCAAATGCTGTAAGTCTGGAGGGCTGCCCATGCCTTGGAAAGAGATTGGCCTTCCCTTTAAGACAAGCAGGATGAATTATGAAAGGAAAGGGACTTCTTCAAGAATCTTGATTTTTAAAGAGCTTGTATATACTTTTTTGTATATAACAAAGTTAAAGGAAGGGCAGATAGCTCAACTAAACCTAGCAATTAAAGTGAGCTTGTGAACAGTTGTGATAGAGCAGGGTTTTAGCTCTCTGCTTGGGGAAGATGGTCTGTTACAGAGGGAGATGAAGAAGCCCTGTTCTCCTGCTTCCACTGTCTCCAGCCAAGAAAATGCACTTCAGATTAGAAAATGCAAAATAGATTAATTCATATAGAACCAAGAGCCAGCCAGGTACAGTGGCTCATGCATGTAATCTAAGCACTTTGGGAGGCTGTAGCAGGATGATCACTTGAATGCAGGAATTCAAAACCAATCTGGGCAACATAGGGAGGTCCCATCTCTATAAAAAATTTAAAAAATTAGTTGGGTGTGGTGGTACATGCCTGTAGTACCAGCTACTCGGGAGGTTGATGTGGGAGGATTGCTTGAGACCAGGAGATCAAGGCTGCAGTGAGCCATGATCACATCAGTGCACTCCAGCCTGGGTGACAGAGTGAGACTCTGTCTCAATAATAATAATAATAATAATCATCATCATCATCATCATAACCAATAGTTAAGAAAAATAAGGGGATAGTAAAAGCCCTAAACTCCTTCAACAGTCATGGCTATAATAGCTGCAATTGATTATTTATAGGGACTTTATGTACATTGTCTCTCTATGAGTTTGGTGTTATTAGCCTTATTTTACTTATGAGTCCACAAGGAACTGAGAAATTAAGCATGCTGGGTTCTCAGAACTAGAGAGATTAGAACTCATGTCTGGGCCAGGTGCAGTGGCTCACACCTGTAATCCCAGCACTTTGGGAGGCCAAGGTGGGCAGATTGTCTGAGCTCAGGAGTTAGAGACCAGCCTGGGCAACATGGCAAAACCCCATCTCTATTAAAAATACAAAAAATCAGCTGGGTGGTGGTGGTGTGTGCCTATGATCCCAGCTAGTGGGACTGGGGAGGCTGAGGCATGAGAATTGCTTGAAGCCGAGATCTCGCCACTGCACTCTAGCCTGGGCAACAGAGCAAGACTCACTCTGTCTCAAAAAAAAAAAAAAAAAAAAAAAAATCCATGTCTAACTGTTGTGTCCACCCACCCTGACCTCTCTGAGAGTAGCTCTGCATCTCAGGCCTGAAGGAACTGTATCCTGAAATGCTAAAGGAATTTGCCTATGTGGTTTTAGAGAAACCACTAAGAAATTATAGGGTAGAGATAGGAAAATGCCTAGAACTTGAAAAGAAAGGAATGAATAGAATCTGAAAATTCTAGACTTGCAAACTTGATCTCATGACCTAGCAAAATTCTAGAATCTTAACTTTTGCACTAACTGGCTATGCCACCTTGGGCAAATCACATCATCCCTCTGGGCTTCAGTTTCCTTGTCTATAAAGTATATGCTTGTATTACATCATCTCCAGGGTTCCCTTTAGTTCAAAGTATTTCATCCTAATAAGTTCCTTTAATATGTTCTGACAGTTTTAATGTTTCAGTCTTACCACCATGAAATAACTCATTTTCATTTGGTATCAGATGCTCCAGTGTTTCTTCAGAGAGTAAAGGGTTAAGAAGATGGAGTTTGGAGTGAAAGAGTTGTAGGTTCAAATCTTACCTCTTCTCTGTACTAGTTAAATGACCTTAAGCAGATTATGTAAACGCTCTCTGTATCTCAGTTTTTCCTCTATAAAATGCTAGTCTTTCCTATACTTGCATTTATTTCACAGGGTTGTTTTAGAGTTAAATGAAATAATATGTATAAAGCACTTAGCTCAGTGCCTAGAATATAACAAATACTCAGTAAATACTAGTTCCCATATTTATTGATTCTAAGATGCTCTTTTTCCTTCTACATTTTGCCATCTCTGAAATCAGGATGCATCTTATAGCTTATGGTGTGTAATAGTTTAATTGGCAGCAGTTTTTTCTTTTTTAATGGCACATAAACTAATGATACATTTTGCAATTCACTAAATATGGTATTTCCCCAGCATGGTTCTTATCCCTAAGGTTCTCATTTCTCCTCTGGGATGCTCCTTTCTTCAACTTTTTGCAGGCCATTATCTCTTCTACAGCAAAGCAGATTTAGGCAATGGAACAGCTGGGGAAGTGACAACCTCAGCCGTCATCTTATCTGGCTCGTTTATTTTACTGGTTTTGAAAATGGAGGCCAGAAAGGGGAGAAAGAAGAAAAAAACACAAAGGGAACTGAGGTCTTCGGATTCCTAGTCCAGTGTTCTTTCCCCCATCAGCAATGTTATTGGCATGGAACAATCCCACAACCATGACTCAGTTGCTCTGTAGATGCCTGGGCCCCAGTTGGATGGTGAATGCTTCCAAATTTACATATAGATTTTGATGGAAAGATTTTAATCCTACAGCCACAAAGCTGGAAATTAATAGATTTTGACTACTGCTTCCATTTGCACAAACGCAGAATTCTAAAATTTTAGAGTTGAAGGGAATAATTTTTTTTCCTGTGGGAACTATAATGTTCTCACCTTTGCTGTAGTCTGAATTTGCAAAGCATGCTCTCTGGAGGCAGCACATTTCCTCTAAGTTATTATGTCTACAATTTCAGGAGCTGACAGCATGTGGATAATTGTGTCTTGAATTGTGAATGGTTTCTGCAGTTTGGCTGTTCCCAGGTTTGTACAGCTGAGCCCAGTGGCAAATCAATCACACAGTTCAGACACTTCATTGATTCATTCACTCCATCACCTAGCACTTACTGGACATCTACCAGTCACAAGGCACACACATAGTCTCAGCTAATTCTCATAATAGCCTTATGAGATGTTACTTACATTTTGCAGATGGAAAAACTAAGGAATAGTGATGCTAAGTTACACTTTTTTGAGGTGGACATTGATGAACCTTCCAGATGTTGATTAGGGCATTTTAAAGCAAGAGATAACTTTATTGCTATAAGAAAAATGACTCAAAATTGAAATAGTAATATGAATCATTTTATAGTACAATATGTGAACAAATACAGAAATATGTCCATAGCCTGTAGAAAAGAAACAGAATGTTCATTGGGGATCTTATTAGCTCTACACATTAATTGTATCAGTGAATTCAGTGGCCCTATGGTGGGCTCACAGGTAAAAGGTACAGGCCCATGGGCTTAGGAGAGGGCAGCAGCAGCCTCCCTCCAACAGCACACTGGTGAGAAGTAATCCCAGTTACCCCAGCCTAGTGTCTCATTGTGCTTTATATTCTAGTTGGATGTTTGTTGGAGTCTTCATCGCTGCATGATGAGGACTCATACCTCTTGGTGACATGTCCTTTCCCAGTGCTTCTCGGGGCTCTCTTCTGCCTCTCGATTTTAGAGGAGTGGTGGCAACACAAGTGGAGAGGAGGCTACTTGCTTCCCCTTCTGTGGTACCTCTATTGACTGAAAAGCATAGGGCCATCTCTGGGGATAGAAACTGCATGACTCTTGTGCCTTTTTGGGAAGGCTTCCTGGAGGAAGAGGGATTGACAGCTGAGGTCAGAGCCTTTCTAGAGTTCTCTTTCTTATTCTGGGGATTAACCTCAAACAGCAAATTCAGAACATGCAAATAAATAGAATAACAGACAAAAATGAGGCAAGGCATGGGCATTTAAGAGACCAAAGCGGCAGAGGATTATAAAAATCTAGAAAAGAGAAACCAGAGAAGTGGATTCATACAGTTTTAAGTTTGGGATATTTTTTTCACATGGTCTTTATATACTTTTACAACATTGATTTTAATACATATTTGTTGTAGAAAGTTTGAAAACTATAGAAAAGTGTAAAAAAAAAATGAAATATCCCCATAATCTCACACCCCAGAAATACATTATGTCCATATTTGGGATCACATCAAATCACTATTTCAGAAGGTTAAAAAAAAAAAAGTTGAGTCTCAGCAATCTGATATGATTTAGCCTAACCTATATAGTGTGTGTATCATTAGTATCCTAATTTCTACTTTACATGTTGCGAGCATTCTTCCATGAAATTAAAAATTACTCAGAAATACAAATTGTAATGGCTGATTTGTATTTAATTTATACCTATTTCAAGTTTATCTTAACTATCCCCTTTCTGTTGGATACTTAGGATATTTGCAATTTGGGGCCACATTAAAAAGTATTGCATGAAACCCCTTGTTTGCAAATATCTGTCCTCCTTTTTCCTTAGTTCCTTCACATAGACATGCAGAAGGGATATCACTAGATCACTGTATTATTATTATTATTCGTATTACCAAATTGCTTTCTGAAAAGGTTGAAGCAATTTTACTTGCACTAATGGGGTTATAGGCAGGAAGAGGTAATTAATGCTGAACCTTGCTAGCATTGATGATTATTGCCTTCTCAAAATCTTTGCAAATTTAATGGATTTTTAAAACATCTCATTGTTTAGTTTGCATTTTCTTTATTACTAATTAAGTGGACTGCTTTTTCTTATGTTTATTATCCATTTTCCCTCCTTTTTGAAATGTATATTTATATTCTTTGCGCATTTTTCAAATAGGGAGCAGTAATTTTTTCTCTATCGTATTTGATACACGTTTCCTAGCTTGTCATTTGCCTTTTAAATTTTGTTTATAATCTGACATATAGTTTAAATTCTACAGAAACAAAACCATCAATATTTTTCTGATTTCTTTAAATGCTTTTGTGCCTTGAGAGCTCTTTCTTATTCAGGGATCAGTTAAATGACCATGCATGTTTTCTCTTAAGGTTTTTAAAAAAATGTCATTTTAAAGGTTTGGGCTCTAATCTCTCTAAAATTTATTTTATTTTGGTGTATGGTATGAAGTTGTCAGGATTAACTGGATTTTTCTTTTCCAAATATTCAGTTTTTCCAGTGCCATTTATTGACTACTTTATCTTTCCTCCATTGTTTTAGATTATTTCCTTATCATCCATTAGATTTTAAAATATGCCAGATCTGTATTAGGGCTATGTTTCAGGCTCCATTGATTGTATGTTAATTCTTGTGTCTGCTCCACCTTTTAATAATTTGAGTTTAAAAAATATACTTTCATATCTGGTAGGGCAAGCCCAACCCATTATTTATCTTTTTTAAAAAAAGTTTAATTATTTTTATCTATTTGTTTTTATAGGTAAAAATCTAGTTGAAAATCCCTTTGGCACATAGGGGGTACTAAGAGATTCATTCAACAGATATCCACTATAATGTTTAGCTTTTTAATCCAAAAACATGTGATTTTATTTGAATTTTATTTTATTTGAATCTTCTTTTATATCTTGCATTTCAAAGGGATAAACCCTATTTGCATACATGGAAAATTATCCCTAATGAAAAATGGAGTTTTCTTTTACAGCTCATTTGGACTTCAGTTCTTTTAGTCATAAGACAATTTCATCTGTGATGAGTGGTAGCCATTTCTTATTTGCCACAGGATCACATTGCAGAGTGAACAGCTGTGTAACACAGTTGTCCTGAACTTTAAATAAGGTTGCTCTTAAAATGCTATTTGACTTGTTATCATAACCACAACCTAATTATTAAACTTTTTAAGTGTATGAATATTTTACAGATATTCTATATATGAAGGATCAATATACAAAAGAGGGAATTTGCTCTTTTCCAATTATTTCAAGAATAAATAAGAAAAATCTGACATAGAAAAAAAGTTAAACATTAACAAAATCTGTAATCCAACTTTTCAGAGATAACTGCTGTGTACATATATATATGTATATATATATGGTTTTTATACACACACAAACACAGACACTGTATGCACAATTGAGACATGGTTGTACATAACTATTTTATAATCTTTTTCACACTTAACAATATACCGGAAAATTTCCCAAGGCATTATACTTGTATAATATTTAATGCATATTTAATGAATGCATTGAGTAGATATGGTTTATTTAACCACATCCCTGAGGTTGAACATTTGAGGTTGTTTCTGATTTTTTGAAATATATAAAGCTATCATAAATCTCTTTACTCCCTAACTTAAAATTATTCTAATCTTAGCATATAGGCTATGTTCTGAGTTCACATGCACATTTATCCATGGACAAGACAATCTCATGGCTCCCTAGTCATGGCAAGGACTCCTCTTTTCCAGGGAGCTGAAAGAGCAGGGGACCAGATATCCCAGCCTCCTAGAGGTCTTCTGCTAAGATTACTGGGAGAGGATTATGAGTGCTGGGGAGTTGGTGAGAAAATCGTTTCAGAGAGCATGGAACTGAGAATCTAAGCAACCTGGGGACATTTATTCTACATGTAGCAAGCAGATTTTAGGATCCAACTCACTTGGATTTGTATTCACCACTTTCCTGTGCCTTCACACCTAGCTCTGTGTGTTAAGGGTAACATAACCTCTCTAGCTTTTGTTTCTCTGTGAACTCCCCCTACTTACTACAGCCTGACAACTCAAGGCCAACTAAGAAAAAGACTCACAGGTCACTTACTCTCCCCAGACCTCTCTCCACAGGGCTCTGAAGGCTGCCTACTAGGTAGATGTGGTGGCTTCTTCATCTCAGATGGTGGCCTCGCTATCAGGATGTGTTTTCAGTAGGCATGCTTCTCAGAAATGCCACCTTGACCTGTAGATCTTTATGTAGAACCCAGTCTCATAAGGGCAGGGGGAAGAGGAGTTGGGAAAAGAAGGAACAAGGCCTGCCAACTGCTGGCAGCTGCTGGCAGCTATGGTCATGGAGATGCCCCTGACCATAGCCCCCTGGCCACAGGAGGAGGGACAAATGCACAATCAGCTGGGCAGCTGGTCTTCCTTTGGGAACAGGAGGCTTTCTTTTACATCTGGGGCACCTGGGTAGGGGAGCAGGAGTAGTTGTAGTACTCGCCGAATAGCCCAGATTGGGTAGCAGAGGGAAACAATAAAAATTCAGAGGACCCACACAGATGGGTGTGAGCAGTGTAGCTTACTGGTATGCAGTGGGAAGCTGGGGAGGCATTTTTTTAGCTGCCGTTTTCTGAGTTTACTCCGTTCACTTACTCATTCACTTGCTCACTCATTCATATATTCAGTACTTATTATTGAACATCTACCAGGTGTCAGGCCCCATGAAAGAGATATCAAGATGAACAGAGAAGAGTGAGCATTATGTTTACTTAGTATCAGCTAGGTGTCTGGTTTTTCAATTTTCCTCCCTTAATCATTACAACAGCCTATGAAGTGTAGGTATTCTTATCTCATATGAAGGAACAGAGACCCAGAGAGATTAAGCTGTCTAAGGGCACACAGCTAATAAATACTGGAGCTGGGAGTCAGACTTCTGTCCAAAGTCTGTGCTTGACTCAGGGCTGTGACCTTCCCCTCAAGACATGCTTGTCCTGGGAGAGCTTGCTGTCTTAAGTAGAAGACAGCATGATGAGCAAGTAATGGCCAGGTGTGTCCTATGGTGCCAGCCTCACTAGGAACACTCCAGAAACCTTATCCTGCCATTATCCAGGCTCCAGCAGATCTTGTTAAACATGTTTGCAGACCCTTTCTGCTGGCTCTAACCTTGACACAGTGTCATGAATCGAGGAAGGGCCTGGGGTCAAGTTGTCATCCCTCCAATGGCGGGGGTGTCATAAGTTTGGAAGGCTTACTGGAAATGTACTGCCTTGGTGTCTACAAAACTCATTTTGTGTTCAACTAACCTCAGTTCTTCCAGCTCTTAGTAGCTCCATAATGAGAGAGAACCACCTCTAATAAAGCTTATTCTTACAGCACAGGATCTTTCAGACAGCCTTCACCTTCTACCATCTGCCACAGTTTCCATTTATCTCAGCTAAGGAATCAAATCATTTCATTTTTTTCTCTGCCAGCCCAACCATGGTATTGGGTTTCAGCTAAACCGTGAGTGTCATAAAGTGTGCTGTGAGGGAGGCAGAGCCTAGAAAATAGGATCTAGTGGTTTGAACCCAAGATAACTTGTAGACTCTCACTATGACTGCCCTAGGCTATTGGTTCTCAACGATTTAGGGTGTCATAGATCCCGTTGAAAATCTGTTGACAACTGGACTTAAAGATTGTCTCTCAGAAAAATGGACACATATGGACAGATATGCAATGGTTTGTGTACAGTTTCATGAGGTTCATGGCTTTCCCCCATCACATACATTTTGAGGCAGGGTTTATAGGCCTGCTTCAGTTTGTCAGGTGAAAAGTATAACTTAGTCTGTCCTCTGGTGAGTAGAGTTGAGGATTACCCAGTCTACCCTCCAGAATTCTGGAGAAGGATTTTGGCTTCATGAGATATTCAGATCACCCCTTCTTTCCTATTTAGCACTTAACATTGTTATGCTTCTTTCTAAAGAAATAGCAGACATTATGAGTCAAATGTTTTCCCAATCATGGCAAATTTTCTAGCTTATGCTGGGCCCTGGTTATGCTAGGTCCACAGGGGAAGCTTTGTTGTTTATCTCCAGCAAACATTAACTCATCTCTTTGTTATTATGGATAGGGTCTAGGTCTTGGGAAAATCCCATTGTGTCTTAGTTAGTCTCCTCTCTTCTCCTAGACCCACCAGAGACTCATCACCTGTCTTGTCCAATCTAGGACCTAGATAATGATCCCATAATCCATTACCTCTTCTCTTCTTACTGCTTTTTCACATTTTAGAGACTTCCTTAGAGCTGGAGTTTTAGTATCTCTTTTGGATTATCTGAATATTTGTCCCCCATGTGTACCTCTATATTATATTTCTTGCATGATATTGAAATTACATGTTGGTTAGTCTGACTCTTTCCTTAAATTAAAAGTCCCTTAAGGTCAGGACCTCTATATTGTTTACTTTTGTACCCACAGTAATTGTAACTTTGCCTGACACATATAGGTGCTCAATAAATATTTACTGAATTGAATTGTATATGTTTGGATATCCAAGGCAATAACTTAAATAGGGACTCAAAAATTGCTTAAAACTCCAGGAATCTTTCCATGGCTAATCCATCAGATATGGTTAGCCAATTTATCTAGATACCTGAACATTGTATCAGGGGACATATAGGGTTCATGCTATCTCATTTCCATGGGATCTGTGTATGTGTGTGTGTGTGCGTGTATGGGTACGTACACAGACCTTTGCTTCTTGGTTACCACAATAACTTGAAAACAATACCAAAAAAACCTCTCTTCTGTAATCTCTCTGTATGTATATCCCTCCAATGCTTCTTCACATTTCTTTATCTCCATGATATATCTTAACATCTCTTTCATCTCTGCCTCTTTCTCTTTTGGTTGGCATATCCTAAGACAGCATGGACAGCAGCCACTCCAAGTAGCAACGTCACACTAGTTCAGGACCAAGGACAGCGGCATACATGTCCTGGCAGTGGGGAGAGGGTGCTTTAGTTTGCTAGTTTGTTCAGTAAAATGACCTTTGGATGTGTCCCTTCTCAGCTGTCAGACCGTACCTGCAGTTCTGCAAACCTGGTTGTTACTTTGGTCCTGGTTGTTCCATGTATGTGGTGGAACTGTGCCCAGTCTGTGCCAGTGTATTCCTGTGACATTGCTCATTGATGGTCATGGTGAGGACACTGGAGCAGGAGTGGCATGGTTGTAGAATCAGAAAGAGAGCAAGTGGGAGTGGGAAGAAACTCTAGGCTTGGGTGAGAGGGTCTGCTCCAGGAGCTGCCTGTGAGGGTCCTCTGCCCTAAACTCTGTGGTCAGCCATTGCTACTTTACTGCCACCCATATGGGGGTTGGAGAGGTGGTTGAGGGGAGAAGCATCCAAGAGGTGCTGGACAATTTCATATTTAGATACCTGCCAGAGTGCCTTCCATAATCACAGAGCCCCAAACTGACTTTTCAAGTCAGCAATTTCATGTTTAACTAGTCTTTATGCCCTGATTAAATTAAGTATTAATATTATTGATATTTGTGCTGGGGAAAAGGGAGGGGGACTGAGATGAGGGTCCCAAGGAGCAAAGCTTTTCTGTGTCTGAACTTGCACAGCACACACCTTCTGCCCCTCGGCGCCTTTGTAACTCTCTCCAAATATATTATAATAGCAAATACACAGCTAATGTTCAACAGTTGGATCATAATAATCACTGACAAGCTAATGTTCTCTGTTACTTTGAGGACCCATCCAACAGCAGTGCTTAAAGTAACAAAAAAGACAATAAATCTACCACTATCACCACTACCTGTGATGTATGAGCACTTTAGGTAACCTGGTGAGTTAGAAAGGAATCAGTTTCAAAACAAACACAGTGGGTGGATAGAATCACTTCTGAAGTGGCCATTTTCTTGTGTCTGTGCTATACTCAAGATGTCAACTTTTCTGGAGAGGGAGGGCGGGAGGAAGAGTGAGTAAGCCTGTGTGTATTGCAGCTGAGGTCTCAACTCAAACTAATATTAAATCTTGTGAAGAATAAACAGAAATGGTTGCTCATTAGCTGGGCTTAGAGAGGCGTTACCCATATGTTTAAAGTGCTAATTATTAGTGATCTTTAATGGAGCTAATTTAGCAGTAGAAAGTGTTACAAATTTCCATTCCTCAAAGGTAGCCCATTAGCCAGGTCTTTATAGCTAATATTGACTTTAGAAAGTTCATATTGAAATTGGCCTCAATTAGAGTTTATGTGAGAGAGGGAGAAAGATGAACATGAAGGTAGAAATAAGCACAAAGAAGCATCATGGGAGGAAGAGACATGGCAGTTACTAAACACTTTTTACGTAGAAGGTGTCATGACACTTGGGATGTGAGAAACTCTGCCTCTGGGTCACCCATTAAGTGCCAGCTGTGTACCAAGCACTAAAGTCATTGAGAGAAGTACTCAGCCCCTGCCATCAATGAGCTTAGAGTCTAGCGAGGGAGCCAGATGCAGTGGTGGACAATGGCAGAACAGGGAGGTACATGCCAGTGATATACTGAGGCAGAGAAGTGAGTCCAGCCCAGATGGTGATTGAGCAGTTAGGGCAGGCACCCTAAGGAAGCTGTCCAGCTCACTATAGTGCAGGGCAGAGGATGGTCATTTATGGAAATATACTTCAAATGCATATCAGAGTTGAGAGAAGGTAGACATTGCTTTTCTCCAGTGTAAAGGCTGCCCGACCTAGTTATCAGCCAAGTCCCTGGTTGTTGTCTCAGGTTACAGGAGACCTGGTCAGTTTGCTTAGAAAAGCTCAGTATTTAGCAATTGCCAAAAGAAGAACATTTTTTTCCCCTTTTTGTGTTGAAATCAGGTTAGCAGAGGCTCCTGGGTGTCCTTTGCTTAGAAATCCCATGGTCAAGGAGGAGAACTCTGCTGCACCATCCCTCCTGCACACCTGCCACCTAAGGAGGGGGATGCTCCTTGGTCCATTTGATGTTTGTGGGTGACAGCGATGAAGGAAGACTGTGGGGGGTTGGCCCCACTGCGCACAGGTAGATTTTCAGGTTGGGGAGAGGCATGTGGGTCTCCACACTGTGCTGTGTGTTTGGTTGCTGACATAAAGCTGCCCAGCCTCTCTCTCTCTCTCTCTGCCAGGTTTATTCCTTTCTCTAAGCACACACTTCCTGTCTTGGTGGTAGGTTTTTTTTTTGTTTTGTTTTGTTTTGAGATGGAGTCTCCCTCTGTCTCCCAGGCCGGAGTGCAGTGGCGTGATCTCTGTTCACTGCAACCTCTGCCTCCCGGGTTCAAGCACTTCTCCTGCCTCAGCCTCCCGAGTAGTGAGGTTTACAGGCTCACACCACCACAACTGGCTAATATTTGTATTTTTAGTAGAGACAGGGTTTCATTGTGTTGGCCAGGCTGGTCTCGAACACCTGACCTCGTGATCTGCCCACTTGGGCCTCCCAAAGTGCTGGTATTACAGGTGTGAGCTACTGAGACCGGCCGGTGGTAGCTGTTTTAAGGAGAACTCTAAGGAACATATTTATAGTCACTGGCGGCATTTTTCAACAGTTTCCTTAATAGCTCCTTAGTGTCTATAAAGAGGAGACAGGAACATTCACCTCTATTTCTTTCTCTCTCTCTTTCTGTGTGTGTGTGTGTGTATGTGTGTGTGTGTGTATCTTTCTCTCTAGCTCTTTATCTCTTGCTCTTACCCCTTTACCTTATGTTTTCTCCCACTCTTGCCACCTCTCTCTTTTTCTCTTGTGTTAACATAGGAAAGGAGGGGATGAAAGAAGGGAGAATGAAGGGAATGAAGATCTTGCTTCTAATAGGTTCTCTACTAACTCCAGTTTGACTAACAGTGTCTTCTCCTAAGGGCTCCACCCATTTTCTACACAGAAGAGACCAGGACTTTAAGTCTCTTTCCTTTATGATTCAGTTTCACATTGCACTTTCATGGGGTCTTACACAAACTGTCAGCCTGCTACTGTCCCAGCAGATCCCAGGAGGTTACCCACAAACATGCTTCCTGCCTCTCCTTGGACTTAGGGAGAAGATCAAAAGAGACAAAGTTCCAGTGCCCCTACCCCCTATTCTACCACTAACCTCAGCAGGGGCCAAGTCCCAACCTCCCCGTATCCTCAAAGATAAAGCAGAATGTGACCTGGAGGTTGGGATCAGAGCCTGCTGGGCCAAGCCCTGTTCAGGAGCCACAGCCTTCTTCTGGGACCAGCCAGATTCCACCCAGCTCTGCCCCTTGCTGTATGTAGCACAGACCTGGCTCTCGGAGTCTCCGAAGGCACTTGCAGTGGCATCTTTGCCGATGCCTCCCCAGGTGTCCACCCTGTTGGGAGTCAGACCACAGAGCCCACCCTCCTCCATGCACTCCTTTTCATCACCCCCTAACTCTGCTTTTCTGTTCATTGAGTAAAACCCCTTCATCCATGACGTACAGTTTGTTTGCCCCTCCCTCTCTGCCTTGGCATGTACTGCTTCCCACCATCCCTTGCCTCTTCTGTTATTTACAATCTAATTTGAAGATCATCTTCTCTGTGGAGACTGACCTGATGGATCATCTCAACTTGCCATTCTCTGTCTTCTCTGTGCCTGTGCGTGGTCAGTTTCAGTATTTCTTGACTCTTTTTTGTGACAGGCCCTGTGTGAGGTTCTGGAGTAGAACAAGGAATACTACATGGTCCCTACCCTCAAGGCATCAGGATCAGTTAATGGGGAGTAAACGAAAACACATAAATGCCATTCAGGAGTGATAGATTATAAAGTACAACTGGAGACAGCTCAGCTTGATGGGGAGGCCAGGGAAACAGCACAGAGGAAATGACACATTAGAGAGAGATTTAAGAGGTAGGATCAACAGAACCAAGTAGCCAAATCAATATGTGTGATGGAGGAGGGGGAGGAGTCTAGGGTGCTTCCCAGGTTTCTGTTTGGTTAGCTCCGTGGATGATGGCACCAGTAATTAAGATATAGTGGATACAGGATGGTCAGATTGGGGGAAGGGTGGGAAGGTTTTTATCAGAATCTCAGAGTCTTCACTGGTTTTTTATCCAGTCTGGTAGCTTCCTGGTATTGGGGGAAATGGACACTCGGTATTTTATTAGGCTGGAAACTCAGCAGAAATTGGGTTTCCCCTCCAAGGGAGAGAATTGCCTGAGATGGGCACTGTGTTCTCAGATGCAGAGCTCCCCAGGTGGGCGCACCCCTCCTTTCTGTTTCCTGACCAGCATTTCCCCAGTGTTCAGGGCTTTGTACCTGTGAGTGGGGGTGCAGGTGGGATAAAGAGGCATAAGCAGACTGGCTTCTCTGTCCTTTAGGGCTATCTTAGAGATGGCATCTTGGTGACAGTATTTATGCTACCGAAAGTAGTTAGAGAAGGTAGGGCTCTGAGGGTAGGAAGGAAGATTTGTGGTGAAATTAAAACATCTGATACATGAAGGAATGGTTTAAGCTACCAAAATTCTGAGCAGTTTGGACAGGTGTTATTCATAAACACTCCTGCCACCAAAAAGTAAGATGTGATCCACTCTTAATGCCCTGGAGGGGGAATTTATCTACCTCCCAGATAGCTTTTTTATTCCAAAGCTGAATTTGAATAATAGATGATTATAGGGTAATGGCTGAATCTCTGGAATCTCTGGGCAGTGGAGAGGGGTCTTCCCATGGTAGGGGCCAGAGGGGTGATGAGTAGTGTTAGATGAGATTTTAGGGGTCCTGTTTAGGCCAGGCTACAGCATGCTTTTCTCCATCTTCTGCCTCTGAGGCAACTCTGGAATGGAAAGACATACTTTAGTACACAACTTCCCAAAGTGTAATGTGCGTATGGATCAGCTGGGTTTTTTTGTGTGTGTGGTGGGGGCTGTTGAGACAGGGTCTTTCTCAGTCACCCGGGCTGGAGTGAAGTGGCATGATCACAGCTCACTGCAGCCTCGACCTCCCTGGCTCAATCAATCCTCCCACCTCAGCCTCCCGAGTGGCTGGGACTACAGATGCGTGCCACCATGCCTGGCTAATTTTTGTTGTATTTTTTGTATAGATAGGGTTTTGTCATGTTGCCTATGCTGGTCTCAAACTCCTGGGCTCAAGTTGTCTGCCTGCCTTAGCCTCCCAAAGTGCTGGTATTATAGATGTGACCTACCATGCCTGGCCTCACCTGGGGTTCTTGTTAAAATGTAGGCTCTGACTCTGTAAGTCTAGGGTGGAACTTGAGATTTTGCATTTCCAGCAAGGTTCTAGGTGTATGTGATGCTTATTACCTTGGGTACCAAGGCTTTAGGACTCATCTTTAAGAAGCTCTTTTTTTTTTTTTTAGTCTCCTTGCATTTTGTACAGGTGGTGTCCTGTCTCTGATAACAGTTAATTGTCCTATTTGGAAACCCATCTTTCTCTGCTTGGAAGCCCCCTTGGAGAGCAGGATCCATTTCTTATTTGTCTTACTGTCACTGAAGCCCGACATATGGCCTGGCCCATAGTAAGTGGTCAATATAGAATTAATGAAATAATGACCTTAGGAATAGGAAAATTTCAAAATTACAACCTAACTAGGGTCCAGCCAAATGAGCTCCTGCACCTCTCAATTGTAAGCCAGATCTCTTTTATGCAGCCTCTCAGTGACTCAGTGCCATTTTGAGTAAGGCTTCTATACTGGACACCACACGGGTGAAGTAGAAAGAGAAGGCAGAAACCTGAGCACAGGGAAATGTGCAGAAACAGGGCTCAGGCCCACTTGAAGCAACATTAGAACACTTACATAGTAACTTCTAAATAGGTGCACATTAAAGGGGTGTGACTGAGAACCAAAAGGAAACAAAGAGCAATCCATGGATACTCTGGCAGCTTGAACCTCCAATGCTCTATAAACGCCCACTCTGTTGTTTGTTTCTTCACTTGTTGAAATCAGGAATGCTTTCTGAAGGAGGTTAGTATGGAACACAAGGCACCCAGGTGCCCTGGGGAATATACTGCTACTCTAGACCCACAAAACCACAGACAGGGCTGGGGGGCTCAAGGGCCAGTTTTACCATTGCCGTGTAAGGTCACACAGAGGCTGGAAGCCACAGTGAGGCTGACTGGCATTTTCCAACATGGGAAATGATGACTAGAAGCAATGTAAGCATAACACGTTTGGAGCAAGGAGAAGCAAAAGTGGGGCTTGGAGAAGACCCATGCTGGAGGATCCTGGGGAGATGGCAGGGGTAATTTGTACTTCCTTAATAGATGTGGAGCATTTCAACTTTGCTAATTAACGGAACAGCAGGCTTGTAATTCTGACAGCAGCAGGACACAAATGGGGTGGGATTAGCACTGAATGCCAGTGAAGCATGCCTTTGTCCTTAAGAAGAGGCACAACACCCACCACCCACGTTGGGTCAGGTCCATGAAGGTGCCATCCCTGATTTTGTTTTTTTTTTTTCCTGCAGCAACTCCAAGGGCTTAGGGGTTTTTTTTTTAATGTCTTCTCAGGCCTTCCAGGATTTTTTTTTTTTAGATGGAAACAGGTCTATGATTGGTCTAGAGCAGGAGTGTCTAGTCTTTTGGCTTCCCTGGGCCACATTGAAAGAAAAAGAATTGTCTTGGACCACACAGAAAATACACTAATACTAATGACAGCTGAAGAGCTAAAAAAAAAAAAAATTGCAAAAAAATCTCATAATGTTTTAAGAAAGTTTACAAGTTTGTGTTGGGCTGCATTCAAAGCTGTCCTGGGCTGCATGAGGCCTGTAGACCACAGGTTGCACAAGTGTGATCTAGAGTTTATTTTCTAATAGTTCTACCAAATATACCAGAAATAACAATGGCAATGGAAGCTTGCCTTCTTCAAGAGATTAAGCCTCATTGAAGTTCTTCCATCACTATTCTCCCATTTTGGCATTTTGGGCTACCTGCAAAATGGGGTGATCTGCCCCTGAGTATCTGTAAACTGATTCTGGGGGACAAATGGGCCAGGAAGCCAGTGAAATGTTTTATCTTCCCAAGGTGCAATGAATCTTGTTAGGGAATTTATTCCCAGTACTTCCTTTTAAAGCATATTGATCTGATAACCTGAGGATCTTAAAGGCCAACAAATATGAAGAGAAGGTTTAGAAAGTCTCAGAGTATTAGAGCTGAGTAGTACCCTGGAGGGCATCTACTCAGATTGCCAGTGCTTGGTGTGACAAATGAAGTCACTGACCTTGTATAAGTCATTTTAGGAAGGGTCAACATTTCATTGATTCATTTATTCTTTCATCAAATATTTATTGAACATTTACCGTGAGTCTACCAAGACACGTACCCGATAGTGAAAACATGTTGCTATTTCATTGGTCCTGTTTGAGTTAGCATTCAATGAACTTCTCCTTTATTATATATTCCAACAGCTGGTTTCACAAGGGCCCTGGGGGAATTGATATGATACATAGTATCTTTAGTCAGTGCAAATAGGTTTTATATGCAAGGTCACCAATTTCTGAGCTGCTGGGCTAATTAGCTCTACTTGGCTTTACATAATACATATATTGTTCAAAAGTTATATGTAATTTAATTTTTGGCAAGTGAAAAACTGATTCAAATCACTAGGGGAACTTTATTTGAAGAGACTCTGGAGCAAATCCTTTTATAATGTGAAAATTTTAGTTGTAATTGGAAATGATTGTCCCCTAGTTTGGATTTTGTAAATGTGGACACTTTAGGTTTACTTGTGGACACACAACCAGGCCCAGCAGTGGCCTCTACAGGGTCAGGGAGGACCCTGGCCTGGGAAGTAGAAGCCCTAGGAATCCTAGAACAGCCCAACCCAAGGTATTGACATTTACTGGAGCCCATGACTGCAAGCTGCATGGACAAGCTGCACACCTTCTCTCAGGTCCTGGGCCCTGGTGGGGAGAAGGAAGAGGTGGGGCACAATGAGTGGGTGTGATGGATGAGACTTGGAGCTTCCTCTTCCTCTCCAAGGATGGGAGTAGAGAGGAGATAGGATGGGGAACCCTTTGCTTCCATTATAGCAAATTTGAAACCCTTCCTTAAGATCTTATGGCTATTTAGAACTAGGACCCTCTTGTGTACTGCAACACAGTAGAGGACAAGAGGGACAGCAGTAGAAAAAAATAGGAAAAGAGTTTAGGAGAAAAGAGAGTTATGTGGACTCTTTTTGTATAGTAAATCTCATTAGTTTGGGCCTTGCTATTTTTGAACTTGTAAATAATCTGAAAGAAGACAGGACTGAAATTTAACTTTTATATTACATTTTTTTCTATAGAAATTAGTGGAGTGCATGGTGATATAGAGGAAAGCGTTTTAAAATTAATGTATAGAAAGATATATTTCACAAAGGAAAATCATGTATTTTGATACAGAAGCATCATTGTTCACAAACAAGTCATGTATTAGTTAAAGATCCTTGATCCTTGTCTAACAGATAAAGCCTAATAGATTGCCAAGGAAGCTGAAATGTCTCCTCATTGCATGAGGATGAAAAAAAATACTTTATATATCTATTTGTAAATTCTGTAATAATTTATATTGATCCTAATTAGCCTCTATTAGTGAAATTTAATTGTTTTTCTGTGGAAAAGATAAAATTAGAGCATAAATATCTGTAGAAACAGGATAGAAAGTTCAAAATAGTGCTTATAGGCTTTGAAATTCGAGTATTCTTTTTTATGGTGTTACTTTGTTTTCCTATTGCTCAAGGTCTTCTCAAAGTGAGCCTTGTAGCTGGTTCTCTGTCAGCTAGTAAAGAGAAACGACTGATGAATAAAAAGACTTGCAGTCTTCATTTGGTGAAAAATGAAAGAGAAGAAATAGGCAAAATGGTCAGAGACACTTAGGAAATTTGTTTTAGGTTTAGGGTATGACCTCTGATCATAGAAACTGGCATTGTGAGCACACATCTCTCTTCCTCCTTGGTTGAGTGTGCAGTTGGCCCACTTCACTTCCCTAGGCCAGTGATCTTACGCCTGGCCCAGAATTTTATTGCCAAAATTCCCGGATGGGTTTCTTGAAACAGTCAATGTTTAGAGATTGAAGGATTGAGTGGGATTGTCCTGCCCAGCATGTTGTTTTCCTCTGTCAATTGTCAAATTTGGACCCTAAGGGTGTAAGCCAAGTGGAGAAAGGCACCAGAGGGGGTATCCATGGTATCTGGTTCTGCTCTCTGAGCTGACATACAACCGCTCGCCTTCTGAGGTCTATTTGTGTCATGTCCCTAATGGCGACACATAACAGAGACCCCAGTTATAGCTCGAATCGCTGTAAGTGTGGGTGGCTCTCCCTGAGAGTCCCTGTGGGGTTCTTAGGTTAAATGATAGGGATGCAATGGTCTAGCCTGGGGTTTGTGTATGTGGAAGCTGGGTCCTGACTTCCCACAAATCTCACACTGGGCTGGATTGTCCTTTGCCTCCTGAGGCTACTGTTCCTCCAGGCACATCTTTAGTTTCCATTCTTTGTGAGCCCCAAGATTCTGCCTCCAGCCCCCTAACAGGAACTCAACTAGAACATAGAAAGGACTTTCTAAATGAGAAGCAAGATTTAGAAAGAGAACAAGTTAAACAAGGTAGTGGGTAGTGCATTTCCTTCCCAGGAGATTTGTATCTCCCCATCTCCTGTCTATTGTGGACCAATGATGATGACATTGAGGGGAGGAGGAAGAGGTGGGGAGAGGAGTATTGTCATCAACTTTGCTTCCATCTGTAGGAGTTTTGTGGTTTACTTTCCTTGTTTGTAAAATAAAGACTAATAGTTGTTGTGCCAGAGGAAAGGCAAGAAGGATTCTTTAGGACTTTGTAATCCATCTTGATATCAATTAACTAATTCAACAGATATTTCCTGAGTGCTGAGTATGTTCAAGACACTGTGCTAGGCACTAGAGGTACGAACATGATTTTTTAAAAGTCCCCCGGCTTCAAGTTGCTCAATAGCAACAGGGCTGTTTTTTTTTTTTTTTTTTTTTTTTTTTTTTTTTTTTTTTTTTGCCCCCACTGCATGGAGGTTTCTCCATGTGGGGAGGGTGACTTGGATTGTCCTCTCCTTGAGAAGGACTAGGGGGTTGCAGCCCTGATCACCCCTATGGCTGGCATGATGTGGAAGTATCCCTTCTGTTGCAGACCCTCTCCTGGTCCATCGGGCTGGGCTGTAGGACCTGGACAAGGCAGGACTTGCCGGCTGATGATGGGATTGGGAGACTGAGGATGGGACCTTGCGATTCAGCCAGCTGGCTCCTCTCACCCTGATTCCTTCTGGTTTGTTGTCCCACAGGGTCTTTTCGGAATGATGGTTTGAAAGCTTCTGATGTCCTTCCTATCCTAAAGGAAAAGGTGGCCTTCGTGTCTGGTGAGTATTTGTGGGACTTTCTTTTGTAAAGGACCTAGAGAAGTTGTGTGTGTGCACATGTGTTCAGATTCACTTGTGTGTTAGTAGGGGAGAAGTAGGGGTGGGGAAGTTATGCTTGGGGCAGCTGCTTTCTTTCTCCTGAGGCAGATGGGGAGGGAGAAAGGAGGGCTCTGGCCCCAGCTGAGTGTTCTAAAGGACACCCAGAACCAAAGGGACATTCCCTGAGCTTCCCACCCAACCTCAGCCCCCTGGCCTGGCCCTGTGAGAGTTGCTCCAACTGGAGAATCTGTGCACTTGGCACATTCCTGGAGGTTTTATCTGAGTTCATTTCTGCATGGATCAGGGACGGGAGATTTTTAAAGGAGTTTTTGCTTCCTCCTTATCTTTCTGTCCTGGCAAAGGGAACTCAAGTGAGGGTTCATGTTTAGATGTTTAGTTTTTGTTTTTTTCTGAATAATGACTTCCAAATATTTATATCTGACTTCTCTCTCCCATACATCTTGTGCACAAAGACCTCTTAATGTCTCACTCTGGGGTAAGCAATCTGTAGCTGGTGGGCCATCCACCAGTTTTTATAAATAAAGTTTTATTGGTACACAGCAATGTGTATTTGTTTATGGAGTGTATTAGTTTCCCATTGATGGTGCAACAAATTTCCATGAGCTTAGTGGCTTGCAACAACAGAAAGTCATTATTGCACAGTTCTGGAAGCCAGAAATCCGTTTCATGGGGCTGAAATCTAGGGGTCAGCAGGGCTGTGCTTCCAGAGTTTCTAAGAGAAAATTGGTTCCTTTCCTCTCCCAGCTTCCAATGGCTGCTGACATTCCTTGGCTTGTGGCTGCATCATTTCCATCTCTACCTCCAGGGTCAAATTGCCTTCTCCTCTTGCATCTGTGTCAAATCTTTCTCTGCCTCTCTCTTTTAAGGATACCTGTGACTACATTTAGGGCCCACCTAGATAATCTAGAATAATTGCCCTATCTCAAGATGGTTAACTTAATCATATTTGCAAAGTCTTTGCCATGATATGTTTGTGGGCTATTATTCAACCTACTACAGATTGTGTTGATGGCTGCCTTCTCGCTGTAACAACAGAGTTGAGTAGCTATTGCAGAGACCATTTGGCCCATGAGCCTGAAATATTTACTCTCTGACCCTTTAAGAAAAAGTCCGGTGACCCCTGATATAATTGAAGCCAAAGACTGGCCAGAGCCCCTAAGGCAGTTGTTCTCAAACAATAAGGTATGCCAGAATCACTCTGGGTGCCTGTTGCAGGGCTCCACTCTAGGCCTCCGGGATCAGAATTTCTGGTAGGGTCTGAGGCAGAGGCTGGGATAGACAGTGTTAGTAGCGAAAGATTGTATTTTGAGAAACATGCCACGTGCTTATACCACATGGACCAAACCTTTATTTCTGGGTGATTTTGGTTATCTACAAGGAGTAGCAGTGGAGTCACAGAGCAAGAGCTAGTCCAGTCCTGTAGAGCAGAGGTTCATGCCACAGGCACTGTTGGTCTGGCTGTTGGGCGACAGCCAAAATAGAGAGAAGAGGAGGCGGGAAGAGGATAAAGGAAAGGGGAAGTTAAGCAGCAGTTGTCTCCCACCTCATCGGAGAAAAGGCGAGAGCCTGATGATTCAGAGTGTAGGTGTGGGAGGTGAGGGCAGGCATGCAATGGGAGTGTGCAGAAGACTTTGTAATGACTAAATGCATTCTATATTATTGTAATTATTGTTAGCAGTAGTAGCAATAGTAATTTATTATTGCCATTGCTGTTAGATGAGAGTGACCTGGCAGCTGCCTCTTCCCATTAGGGGCTAGTATATCTTATAAGGTAATGAGCCCCCTGCCACTGAAGATGTTGAACAGGCAGAACAACTCCTTGGCAGGATTACGCAGCAGTGATTTGGGTATGGGGAGAGGCATAGGTAACACAACCTTTAAAACCTTTAGAAACTTGGATTCTGATTTCTTGCTAAGCATATGGGAAGACCTTGTGCAGAAATCCTAGAGGCCACTGAGCAGTGCCAGGCCTCTGATTTCTGCTGATCCCCGTAGCCTGGGCTCCCAAGGATGTGGCCCACAGCCCTCTGGGAGCCCAATCTTATCTTTTCTTCCTTCTTTTTATGGTCCTTAGTTAACCTGATGTTCTTCCTGTCCCCTGGATATCCTGCCAATACTCCCATTTCTCTTGTGCCTGACACTTCTTTCCCTCTGCAGTGCCTTCTCCATAACTTCTGCCAAGTTGAGCCTTTCCTCTCCTTCCAGAGTCAGTTTCTACTTTACCTCCTCCAGGAGACCTTCCTGGATCTAATGTATTCCTCTGAGAATCATCCTATTCCACATCAGTTTGGGGCATATGCATGCACAATACACTCTGACATGGAGACCCTTGCTTGATGTTCATGGTTTATTTTTTCCCATGTAAATTCAGTCAGAGCCCTGGGCAGAGCCTCAGAAAAAAACCTTCTCAAGTGGTAGGGGCTTGTCCTAATGGAGCTCATAGAAGCAACGTGGCCAGGAAGGCAGTCAGGAATGAGGCAGGTAGAAAATTCCCTGAGTAGGACGAAGGGGGCTGGGAGCATAGCTCTCCCCCATTTGCCAGCGTAAGCCGAACAGCCTGGGGTAAGCCTTATTCAACTGCACCTGCGCTTGTGGTGCCAGAAACTTCTGGGCTTAGGGAACATTGCCCTTCCGTGTCTGGGAAGGACACTGAATAAACTGGGAAGATAATGACTGGCTGCATTAAAAAAGCAAAAAACAAAAACAAAACAAAACAAAAAAACCCCCAAAACCAAAAAAAAAAAAAACAAAAAAAAAACACCAAACCAACCAACTCTTACATCCTGAGCTTTTAAAAGATAAAATGCAAAAATAAAACAAAATGAAGAAACCTATAATTAAATAATGCAGTTTAACAGTTGGATTTCTTTCTGAGAAGAAGAAAGCGCTGCAAGGAAGGTGGTGAGCAGAGAAACAGGCTGTTTGTTAATTGAGCCTGCCCTCCTCTGCTAGCGCCCAGCCTTGGCCAGGCAAAAGGAAAGCCATGCTGCCATGGGAACGTACATTGGGAATAATCCAGGGCAGCCCAGAAGCTTCTGCATGTGGGCGTGTGCATGTCTGTGAGACAGGATTTGGGGCTGTCCCTCAGTGAGCCTCCGTTGTTATCCAGCACTGCCCCATTCTGCTCTGTCATTCACAGCTCACGAGCTCCCCTTGGCCTCTCTGATGTCCTTTGTACTACTTAGAAGTCACAGCACCCATTGTCCCTTTTATCCAGCCTTCTCATGTGGGGTCCATTTCATCCTATTGTCTTTATGTGCATACACGCCTTCCTTTTGGCCACCTCCTCATGATTCCTCTCTGCCTCCCTATCTCCCACCAATGTGGTTTTCCTTATTGGTTTCCACCGTTCCCAGGGAACCTTATGTTGCTGTGGCACAATCTTTCGTACCCTGGACCTGCATCTCTCAAAGTGTTTTCCAAGATCAGTTCCACAGGATGATCCTCTACAAAGAAAACGGGGTTCTACTCTCAAAGAAGTTTGGGAAATGCTGGACATTCTAGCTCTCCTTCTTGGAGAATTACAATATCCATTAAAATACATTAACATTTTAAGGCTCTGGGAAGTCCTGCAGTAAAGAACTTTATTTTTTTTTTTTAATCTGGCATTTTCCAAACTAAAGAATAACCTCATTCCCTAAAAATTTATGTGTCTGTGATGCATATCCATTAACATCTTGCAGATCTATTGTTACATTGACTTTATCATGGGGTCCTTATTATTCATCTCTGCTTATTGTCCTCTGTAATTTCAGCATCTATGTCAATTATTGATCAAATCCTATAGCTTCATTGCTACTCAGCCTCCTTGGTACGAAAGTCCTCCACCTACCTACCATGATTATGCACGTCCAAGATCTTGACCCTTGATGTGTCTATCTGTGGTTTTAGTCCCTTACTTTGACCTTTCTGATATCCTCTTGTCATTTGGGAGAGGATGGATATGAGAGGAATAAAATCAACACCTTTCCCTCTTTTCTGGGATCTCATCATCCAATAGAACATCTCCCACCCTCCCTGGGCATACCCCATTTATATGGTGCATTAGCTCCACTCTGCCTTCACTCAGCTTGGAGCCTGGCACAGATACTGTGGCCAAAGCTTTCAACAGAGCTTTCGCTGTGCCCTAGTATCCTGTCAGCAACCCTGAAGCTCATGTCCTACCCAGTCCTACTGTCATTCTCGAGAGAAGTTCTCCAGTGATGGTTTCATTTCCCTCTCCTCAGTACCCTAAGCCTACCCTGACCCTGGACTGCCTCTTGTCTACTGTTCCACCCAAAGAACCATGTCCCTCAGGCAGGCTGAACTCTTCCCTCTCCACCACGTATCTCCATTTCCTCCTCTCTCTTGGAGTTCAACAGCCTGCCTCAGAGAGGGGGGCAGCCCCATCTGCTGTGGGCTGGGCCCCCGCCTTATGCCTTCCCTGAGACCTTGCTCCGTTGTTGTCCCTACCCTTCCCAGCATAAAGATTCTCTTCCTCTAGGCTCATTCCTCTCCTTTTTTCTATAATCTTCAAAGGTCTCTTCCTTTCTGAATACCACATGGCTTGATCCTGCTGCCTCCTCTTGACTCCTTATCTACACTTCTGGATGTGGGGAATTAGAATTCTCCAGGCTTTCTCTTCTAACTCCTCCTTCCCTTCCATCTGAACCTTCCAAACTTCCTATTCACTATTTATTATATGATTTGAAAGCTCATTCATTAATGGACACTATGCTTAGGAAGTGGAACCAAGTTTCTCAGGAGTGTCAGACAGGGAAAAAAAAAAGCAGAAACTTGATTCTGTTTCCTGAGCATAGTGTCCATTAGTGAATGCACTTTAAAATCATATAATAAATGGTGAATAGGAAGTTTGGAAAGTAGAGGAAAGAAAAAGTGACTATCTTCCAGCCATCTAAAAAGCTCCCCGGCCGTGATCCTGAATCTCATGTCTCCAAGGCCAGCCCTGGTTCTAGCTTGGGAGGGGCAGTGTCAGCCAGCCCTCCAAGCCACCCTTTGCCAGTTGGAGCTGTGGTTCCTTGTGGTTCCAAGACTCTACTTGTATAATGTCCAAGGAAGGTCAGGAAAAAAACAACAGCTATGGTAAAACAAGCAAACAAACTGCCAGAGTGACAATGCTTGGGGTGAGGTCAAGGATAGAGGGGAAGGTTGAGAGTGTTGGAGGACCTCCCAGCTTTTGGGAAACCTTCCATTTAATTTTCTCGCTTCCTTTTCCTCATGTGGAAGGCAATGGAGAGATGGGGACCATTTCCAAGGCAGATGAGACAAGGGTGGTTATCACGTCAAAGAACCAGGGCTAGTGGTATGAAAGGTCCAACTCTGAGTTAATCTGTATGAATCTGCCCTGAGTGGGGGCGCTGGGCAGTGGTGGTGGTGCTGAAACACTTTTTCATCAGGGCTGAATCTCACAGTGGCCTGATCTTATGTAATCCTTTTCTCTCTGCAGCCTCCTTACTTCCTCCTCAAGGGTATTCTGGATTGATTTTTTTGTCAAGCCTCCCCTCTATCTGTGTGGCTTCTGGACCCCTTAACCAGAAGGAAACCTTATTCATGAACTCACACTTGGGCGGGATCCCTGGGAGACTCTGCCCTCTGTGTAAGAGATCCTTGTTTTCCAGTATTGGTGAGGTTCGCACCTCTCCACTCTCTTTCATTAGATCCCTTTGTGGTCCTACTCTGGGGTATATCCAGTGGCCACCTGAGATGTGGCGTGAAGAGTCTGTGATCATGACATAGTGGTTTTCTTTGTGTAATGGCCAGTGCCCTGTAAGGTCATAGTTACCCTTAACTTTTTTCCTGTTTAACGCCCCTGAGAAACTTGGTTCCACTTCCTAAGCATAGTGTCCATTAATGAATACATTTTAAAATCATGTAATAAATAGTGAATAGGGTATTTGGAAAGTAGAGGAAAGAAAAAGCAACGATCCAAAATCCTGGCCTTCTAATAGCAACAGAAATTGTCATTTTGGTATACTCCTTCCAGTTATTTTAAATGTGATGTTTAGAAAACACTTGTAATCTCAGTATGTATGTATGCATTTGCAGTGATTAAGACCTTGAGCATTCTGATTTCTGATAAGATTCATGTGCTCCTCTAGCAGGAGTGACAGGTGGCACCTCAGGCAGACAGGCAGGGGTGGTTTTTTGGCTGTGTAAAAAATACTTAATGTTTTTTCTATGAATCTGAAAACTTCCCAGTAATGCTATCCTGGGATGGATGCTTTGAGGTCTTCTCACCATAGTAGTCAGCTCATCACAAGCACTCCCACCTCACAGAGGTCTATAAAGAGAAGTAAATTAGAGGTTAAATTTCCAAAGAACATAGCACTTTCCACCAGCTTGTTTTCTCAATAAGAACAGTTATCACCATTTTCATTATCATCTCACATTTGTAGAGAGCTTTACTTTTCCAAGTGCATCCCCATGTGCCAACTCATCAGTTCTTGCAACAGCCCTGTAATGTGCACAGTACTGTTTTCATCTGCCTTCTACAGATGAGGCACCAGAGAAGCCAAAAGACTTGCCCACGGTCATATGTGCTACCTGCATCTAGACCCCCCCACCTTGTCCTAAGCAGTGACCAGATTTCTCTGGATACCCTATTTCTGTCTGATCACCCAGCACTCAGACAGATTTCTTTTTCCTCTGTGGCTTTCCTTTCTGACTGGTTTTCTTAAACACTCTTCTCTTCCTCCTTCTTGCAGGGGGTCGTGATAAGCGAGGCGGACCCATCCTGACCTTCCCTGCTCGCAGCAATCATGACAGAATAAGACAGGAAGACCTGCGGAAACTCGTGACGTATTTGGCCAGCGTGCCAAGGTAAGGGGAAGGGGAATGGCCTGCAGGGGAGCGGGAGGGGAGCTGGGCTGATGCCAGTTTTGGAAGGAGCCTCCATCCCTGCCAGGGACCCTAGTGGTTTCTGCTCTTCCAGTGGATTCTAACCATTCCTGGAACACCATTGTCCATTGTCTGCCTCATTCCCATTGTTACTGCTGAGATTCATGTGAATGGGGTGGGAGCTGGAAGTGGCAACTCCGGACACTCAACTCTGTATCACTCAGCTACAGGAAACACTCTATGACACTGATTTAGGTCATGCATTTTCAGTGGGAGTGATATTGCCCCCAAAGAGAGTGAAAATTGGTTCTTGGGGATAGCAAAAGATTTTTTTTTCCATGTATTAAACACAGGTATACATACTCTACCAAGGTACAGTATATGTGTGGTATTAAATTTTCACTGGGTAGGGTGATTAGGGAAAAAAGATCTAAAAAGGCTCCTTCGGGGCCTAGGATGATAATTTTAAAAAGTGTGAGAAACACTGGTCTAGGTAGCACTGGCCACAAGGTGGGTGTGGGAGACACGCCAAGGACATAGTTGAGACGGAAGAGAAGAGAGCTTCACTTGATCAGAGAACCACAAGATGTGAGAGTTGGGAGAGCCCTGAGGAGCAATCTAGGCAGATACATGTCATGTCCTGCTTAGGGAAAGGGGCTGACAGGGGATGTGTGTGGTTCACAAGGGTCAGTGGCAGAGCTTGGTCTAGAACTCAACCCTCCTGAGTCCAGCCCCGGTGCTCTCTCACCATCTTTGTTCTTGAGCAGCGACGGCACTGCTCTCTGTCTCTTAGTGGGGCCAAAGCCTGTGAAATGTTTGTTGTGGCAAATAAGAAATGGTTCTTTGGGCTTTCAAAACCTTCGTCTTGTCTCTGTGCATTTTATAGAAGAATTAGTGAATTACAGGGAGGAGCTATATATCCAGCTTTGCCTTTGCTGGAAGACCTGGGATAATTTTTGAATGTGCTGATTAAGTTCTTGAAGCAGGTGTTGAGTGAGGCAAGTACTGCATTTCAGAGAGCTAAAGAAGAGATGAATGTAAAGGAGTGGTTGGGAGGTGATGGGCAGGTAGTAAAGGGGATTTTAAGAGCAGTCATCACATGCTTGGAAGGATGTTGAATGGAATTGTGAGCCCTGAAGAACTTCGGGCAGAAGACTGAACAAGTAGATGCTGAATAGTGTCTGTTTTTTTTTTTCTTTATGATATCCACTGGGAACAGAAAAAACATAAAAGGTCTTAAGCTTCAGTAAAAGGGATTTGGGTTATATCTGAAGAAGAACTTATAAACTTTGAGTGCATGAAACAATGAATATAAGGATGAAAGATTTTTTTTCTGGGGGTCATTATAAAGAAGAAATACTCTTATCTGTCTCAGAGGCAAGGAGGTAGACTAAATAACTCGTGATTGATATAGGTAATTTAGCAATTTAGCCATCTAGGAGCTAAGCAGTTTTTTAAAGCACTTTTCCTAAGTAAGTGACTAACAGGCATAAAACCAGGAATTTTCTGAAGCAATTTACAATAGAAGTTTTCATAGGGAGCTGTGATGAACTCTCAGTTCTCTTAAAGACAGAAGAAATTGGGATCCCGGAAGACACAAAGGGTAAATTTTTCTTTCCTGCGTGTTCATCACATAGCTGCAGCTAATTGATGCTCATCTTTTCTTTAGAATAAAGAGGGAAAGAGTTGGAAGAATACTTTTCTTCATTCTGACTTGTTAAGCAAAGAGTGGGACAAAACAGACGGGAAGCAATTTAAAAAGAAAAGATTTCCGCTGGGGTGAAGGGGAACAAAACCCAAGAGGGGCTGAGAGGAAGGTCATGAAAAAGGTGGAATAATACATTATCACTGAAGGAACACACAAGATGCAGGCTCTCTGCTTCTCAGGGGGTGGTCACATCAGTGCAATCTGCACTCCTGAGAACTGGAAGGCTCTTCACAGGGCAGGCGAGAGCCCTATTGCCAGTGGGAAGAACTGTTCTGTGATGCCTGCTGCCCTGCCTCCTGAGGGACCTGCATTCATGAAGAGTGTAAGTGCCTGGCAGGCCGCAGAGTTCACCTAGTCATGCCCACCAGTCACTTCCTAATTCTCTTGGCTACATGTCACACATAATGGCTGTTGGATGGAACAGGATTGTTCTAAAGACAGTGAAGTTTGGGGTAGGAAAACTGAATAACTTAGCAGGTCAGATTATATTTGCCACTTTCTTCTTTGTAGCCATGGCTTTGGAAGAGAAAGGGAACAATGAAAATTAACTGTTAGACTCAGTAGATGATACTGATGAGAAGAAATTGTTTATCTGGGTCAGATCCAGGATGCTAAAAAGACAGGCTCTGGTTGTTGGAGGTGGATTGTTACAGGCTGGTGTGATCAAGCCTGTAGGTGACATTTGATCATTTGATGCTTTTTTTTTTTTTTGAGACTGAGTCTCACTCTATCACCCAGGCTGGAGTGCAGTGGCACAATCTCGGTTCACTGTAACCTCTGCTTCCCAGGTTCAAGTGATTCTTGTGCCTTGGCCTGCCAAGTAGCCGGGATTACAGGCACCTGCCACCACAACTGGCTAATTTTTGTATTTTTATTAGAGATGGGGTTTCACTGTGTTGGCCAGGCTGGTCTCGAACTCCTGACCTCAAGTGATACACCCACCTCAGCCTCCCAAAGTGCTGGGATTACAGGCATGAGCCACCTCTCCTGACCAACATTTGCTACCTATTTATTCATGCATTTATTCATTATGTAGTCAACAAGTATTTAGAGCTTCTCTATGCCAGGTAGATTGAGGATTTGTGGTGAACAGGAACACACATTTTGAGAAATTTAGGGGAAACCTGGGTATTTTCCTACCCAGTGCCAAACCAGTAATAGTAAAAGGCAGCCCAAGATGGGAGTGCATTGTAGCGTAGGAGATGAACCAGCCAGCAGAAGACAAACAAATAAGGATAAGTGAGTGGTGAATGAGGATCCTAGAATTTAAGGAACCAGCAAACTTAATGGCCATTTGGGGGACCATTTTAGAATAGATGATTAAACAGATAGTGTTGATAATTTAGAAATGAATAGGAAGAAATAGTCCCACTCTCCTCTCTGTAGGCCAGGCCATATCTGGACCACTGCATTCAACTCTGTAACATTCATCTGGCCAGCTTCATTTTAAGAACTACATAGATCAGTTAGAGTGCTGTCAAGGAAGCAGCACATTAAGGCACCCACAATCCATGTCTCCACAGTTGAAGGAATGAGGGATGTTTGCTGGCAGGCATGAAGATGAAGAAAAAAAAACAACAAAAAACGCAATTCCTGACTTCAGGAGAGCTGCCCCAGAAATGAGGGAACAGGCATGGCCTCTGTTGCATTAACGGGTGGACGTTAGAATCAGGAGAAAGAACCTGCCCACATGGAAGCTGTCTAGCAACACTGCTGCTGCCTCTGGAGAAAGTGAACTTCCTGTCACTGGAGACCAGATGACCCTCTGTTAGGGATGCTGTAGAAAAAGTTCCTCTACTGGGTTGAAGGTGGGCTTAGATAACTTCTAAGAATCTTTCCTGCCCCGAATTCTAGGTTTCTGTGATATTGGAAAAAACAATGCATCATAAAATCCAGGGCCTCAGAACAGAGTATTACCACCCCCACCAATATGCATCTAAGTGCTCTCTTCTCAGACTTCCTAAGTAAGTTAAGGTCTGGGATTTCACTTAAGATTTTGTCTATACCTTAAATCCTAAGAGAACTTCTTTTTAGTCCCCTTCGACTCCAGGTGGAAATTTTGGGGCATTACCCAGGACCAAGGATCCTGTTGGGGTGTAACAGCTTGGATCAGTCCTGACTTATTCGTTCAGCGTCCATCTTGGCCTGAGATGAGTCCCGTCATTTTAACTTCTCTGTCTTGCTCCTGATGAGTTTGGGCATCTATCTCCTAGGTCACTCAGGTTTTCCATCATCTTATTCTGAGGAGTCATAGGTAACAGGGTGGGAAGAAACCTTAAACGTCTTCTAATTCAACTTTTCAATAACTCCATCCACTCAGTTCAACAAATATTTACTGAGTGTCTACTATGAGACAAGTTCTGGATAGGAATCTTGGTGAGGCCTCATGTTATCTTTACTGTCATCCACCTACACTTATCTAACATTTTTTTGTCCTGGTCTGCTGTCTGCTTACAGTTACTTGTACGTGAAAGGAGTGGAAAGAAAATA
Source organism: Homo sapiens (assembly GCF_000001405.40). NCBI lineage: Eukaryota > Metazoa > Chordata > Mammalia > Primates > Hominidae > Homo > Homo sapiens. Next base: position 124,239,160 of record NC_000003.12, read on the forward strand.
CTCAGATGTGATCAGCTGATGAATGTCCCTAGAAATTGAAAGACAGGATAGAAAATCCAGCCTGAGAGTAAACAACTGTCCAGGCCTAGCCCACAGTGTGGATAATCTACCCACTGTGATTATTGGGAGTTGACGAAATGCTTGAAATAGGAATTTCTAAGCACTACATCTAGTAAGGAAATCCTGGGTTACTTTTATTGCATTGAATTCCTCTTCATCATCACTGTTAGCCTGCTTTGTCACGACCTTCTTTCTGTGACTCCTAAGGGCACCAGTTGATGTATCTGACACTTAATCTGCTCTTAGCAGTTCCACTGAGATACTGAGTGTTCTGCCAAGGAATGTGGTTATCATATTGGTGAGGAAAGATAACAAGAAATTAGGATGAGTTATTCTGTAATGTCAATCAAATCAAGGTGCCTTTACTTGTGGCCTATTATTTGATAACATTTGCTCTTGTTCTACGGATTTCAGCAAAACATAAGTTGGGCTTATGGCCTGCACTGTCTTTGTGCAGCATTACCAGAAAATAGGTGTAAGCAGAGAGAACCAGGAAGACAGCTGAAAGAAGAGGGGTAAAAACTGCAAGGGTTTCCTGCCTCTATTTTCTGCGTGAGAGAGCCTGAGCTATCCAAACTACTGCCATGAAACATGTTCTGTTGTAAGGGCCTGTTGAGATGTGTTGTTGATACCTTACTCTTTGCTCTGGGATCATCAATAAAAGGAGGATGTGGGGAGGAAGGGGAGGGATCAGGTGATGGAAAGGCCAGATAATAGGACCAATGAGAACATTTAGGTCACATTGTTTACATTTCCCTAAAACATACCTTTTAAAGATCATTGTTGATTTCTTTATCCATTTTGAATTTAAACCCTATGTATAAATAGCTTATAATTTCTATGTATAAACAAGATACTTTTTACACACATTTCCAGCAATACCAGTTAGGTGTCCCTATTGTTGGCTATATGTAACCCCAGCCCTGAAGAGCAAATAGCATTCTACCATGCTGCTAGGAAACATAAAGCCACAGTAGTAACTGCAATCGTTAGTAATCACCTTCCTTAGAGTCATATCAGCTTTTGCAGCAAAGGATGAAGAGGCATCTTAGTCTAGATGGAAGATGCTGAGCTTCGGATCCCAGCTCTACCTTTCTGCAGCTGGGAAACATATGGCCCCTCAACCTGGGTAATTTGGGAAGACTTTAACCAAGACACAGTTTATAAGGCTGTGGGCAGAGAACAGAGAAACCAGCAAGGTTTGGATCCCTCAGGCATTGCAGGCCTGGAAACAGCACGGAGGGGAAACATTACCACTTCTAAGAGAGAGGAGAGCTTTGTGAGAGGCTGCCTGACAGGAACTGTGGCCTTCAGTGGAAGATGCCACCAACACATGGTGACTCCATGACAGGGAGCAGGGGAATTGGTACCTTGACCCCACTCTCTTCCCATTCTCTCATCTCCTGTCATCATTGACTGAATGTACCGAGAAGCCAGATGACAGGGGAGCCCATTGATGTAGTCCATGTAGGTCAACTCCCCAGGGCACTGGGTAGTGGAGAGAAGATACAGAATGGATTCAAGGTGCAAATGGAAGATATTTGGCACAGAGGGAGACTTTGGGCATGCTAGTCACCATTTCTAAGTTTAATATTCTAATTTTTATTTTGGGAAAATAATGTCTATCTCATAAGGGTATTGTGAGGAATTATCTAGCAGGCTCTCTCTAGCACCCAGGTGCTCGTAATTGTTAGTCTTTCCCCTAAAGGAGGTCAGTAATAGTAATAATGATAATAATAGCAACAAAAAATATATATGAACATACATAGATAGCAATATTTGCTACATATGAGGGACTAGATGCAGTGTATGTAAAGGTTATGAAGCACAATAATAAAGCGAGCACTTGAGAGCCTACCCTCCAATTTGACAAGCAGAACATCACCTCTATCCTCAATGCTACCTAGGGCTCCTCCCCATTCTGACTCTCCTACTTCCCCCAAAAATAACACTGTCCTGGGTTTTATGTTTATCCTTCTTTTGCTTTTTGGGAGGTATAGTTCAGCACATATTTTCATAAACAATATATGATTTACTTTTCTTGTTTTTGAGCTTTATAAGAATGGTATTGTACATTGTGTAGTTTTCTGTGACTAGCATTTCTGAACTATTGTGATGTGCAACAACATGGATGAATCTTTAAACATAATTTAGAGTGAAAAAGAAGCTAAGGTTTTGACTCTGAGAACTCCAAACCAAATTATTAATAGATTAATGCAGTGCTAAAGTGTCTCTTGAGAAGTTTCTCTTAGCTAACTGAAATAAGGAAAATTAATAATGATTACTTTTCTCCATACTTTAGAATAAATATCATAATTTGTGTCAATATCAAACAAAAAGTAAAATTCTTTTCAATTTATTAATTATTGGTATTAAGTAAGATAAAGTATATCAAGTCCTTACATAGTGCCAGGTACACAGTAGATTCCATAAACATTTGGTTGCGTCTCCTTCTATGGTCTGGGGAAGTCTAGCATGTGCATAATTGTGGGGTAGCACCCTGAGTTAAGTGATGAAATAGAGGGTTGAACCCAGTGCTCTGGCCTTCCAGCATGTGGAACATACAGCCTCGCTGTTGACTGGGAGTGGGGAGACTTCAAAAGAGACGTGAGCAGCATTTAGAAGCCCCAAGATAATTTTGCTAAAAGCACGAAGGGGTAGGAATGGGCCAGTCAGAGGGAAGGGCTCAAAGGAACACTGGGGGTGGGCAAAGGAGATGAAGGGGTGTCAGGTTAAGTTCCAGAAACTCAAGATGTAGAAACACATAGTCTTTTGGGAGAATGGCAGAGGATAGGGCAGAGAGGCATGTAGAATTCTGTGGGTCTAGTTCAAGAAGTTAGTTACTAATAGGCAATAAAAAAGCCATTGAAGAGCTTTTCAGCAGGAGAATGACAATTAAAATTGCCTTTTAGAAGATTCACTCTGGCAACTGAGTGGAAGATGAAATGGAAGAGAAGGCTAGGCAATGGGGAAACAGTTCCAATAATGTGGCTTAAAGACAGTAAAAGTAACAACTAGCATTTATTAATCAATTCTAGGCACTGTTATAAGTATTTTACATGCATTAACTTAATTCTCAACAACACTTTGAGAGGGGAATTATCATTATTTCCCTTTTACATATCAGGAAACTGAGACGTAGAGAGATGAAGTACTTGCCTACTGGCACACAGTCAGTATGATCTGGAGCCAGATGGTCTAGCACCAGAGCCTAAGCTTTTATCCAGTGAAGAGATGAGGAGGCCAAAGTGAAGGAAGTGGCAGTGGTGGCAGAGTGAGAGGACTGATTTGGGGAGAGTAAGAAGGTGAACTCTGAAGGATGGGCTAAGACTGGATTTGGAACAGAGGGACAATGGAAGAGGGCGGTAGGGAAGGGCACCAACACAGAGATCTAACAATGGTGGGCAGGGACCACTACGCTTCAGACTTCCTTTCCTGAAGCTTCTCTTTGGAACCTAAGTGTGAAGGTTGCTGCAGGTGAGAAATACAGGTGGTAATTACCTCAGTTTTGGGCTTCTGCTGGCCAAGGCAACCATGGTGGCTGTGGATATGCAGGACAACAGGGGTGGTGAGGGTGGTGGTGGTGTTGGGGTCCTTCACAGTTCCTCCCCCAGGTGTTTGTGTTCAGTTTTAGATGCATTAACTCTCATTTATGCTCATCTGTGGGTGATAGTCAACCATGATTTAGTTACCAAATTATACCAAGAGATGTAGGGAGAAAACAAAAGCACTTAAGACCATAGAAACTATTTAAAGAGATTAATGAAAGACTATCAGTAGCAGGGACCCCGAGCTTAATGCCTACATTGGTGGGGTAGTCTCTATCGTATTCTAGCGATGATCATCTTGTTCATTTTCCTTGAGTCCGAGATGTTTCCTTCACCCACCTGCCTGTCTGTTTCTATATTGGCATTGCTGTAGTGTCAGAAGTACAATTCTGGAATTAGTGCTCAGTTAATGCACATTTTGAGGCTCCTTCATTTCCATGGCCATGCCACCATTGTAGGACTTGGCAGGTCTGTGGGGCCTGCACAGTCCATGTGGGGCTAAGGGACTACAGGGGCTCATGGAAACGCTGTGAACAGGGACAGGTTGTAGGGAGTGGGGAAGAGCTGGCTATCATGCTTCAAATGCGGAGAGACACATTTGTGATTCCCTGGAGAACAATAACTGGAGCAATCAGAGGCGGAAACCACTTGGTCATGAAGTAACTATGAGAAGCAGCCCTGGTTATTCCAGGAACCAGTAAGTGCCTGTAGCGATAAATCAAGGACCCACCCAGCACTGGACAAAAGAATTCCTAATAAGTGAGGGTAGTGAGTCTCCTTCACATGCATATTCCATGTATACTCTCAGAAGGGGCTTTGGGCATCAGCATTGACTTGGTGGGAGTGGAACAATAGCAGAGAAAGAATGGGCTGCAGGGAAAAATGCTGACACCTGGAAATTATGTAGGGTATTCCAGTCCAGGAAGAATGAACCCCAGAATCCTCCCCTCTGGGAGGTGAAATGCGCATGCTTGCTAAAAATTTTCTTACCTATAAAATAGGCATAAAGATATTACCAAACACAATGGTAGTGAGGATTCTGTGAGATAACACATGTAAAATGCCTAGCCCATTATTTAGCTCACAGAAGGGGCTGACAACAACTGGCAGTTTCTTTCCCTTCCCTTGCTTGAAAGTAGGGACCTTCTTTTGTCACTTGTCCTTTATTGTCCCTAGCACTGCTTTTTCAAAGTTAGGGTTAGGGTTATGCTTAAGTTTAGGATTAGAGCTAGTAGTGATAGCAGTTACAGCCATAGGTCAGTAACACTTCACTTCTAATACGTAATGAATGAATATATGTGCCTAACAGTGTGACAAAGTTTTGGCCTATATTTTTAAATTAGAAAGATATTTCTTTTACTGGAGAAAGTAAGTGCAGAAAAAATATTTTAAGAGTTTTTTAAAGCTCTTGTAACTGCACCACCTAGAGATAATAACAATATATTAACATATTTCCTTCCTATCTTTTTTTAGAGGTTTGTTTTTTTGAGACGGAGTTTCACTCTTGTCACCCAGGCTGGAGTGCAATGGCGTGATCTTGGCTCACTGCAACCTCCGCCTCCTTGGTTCAAGCGATCCTCTTGCCTCAGCCTCACAAGTAGCTGGGATGACAAGTGCCCACCACACGTCCAGCTAATTTTTGTATTTTTAGTAGAGATGGGGTTTCACTATGTTGGGCAGGCTGGTCTGGAACTCCTGACCTCAAGTGATCCACACACCTCAGCCTCCCAAAGTGCTAGGATTACAGGCGTGAGCGACCGCGCCTGGCCTAGAGCTTTTTAAAAACAGAAATGGACTGTATTGTTTCTTCAGTTTTGCTGCTTGCTTTATTCCAGTTAGCATTATACTATAGGAATATTTTCATAACATTAAAAACTTTTCATGTGTAATAGTGTGTCTTGGGATGCATCATATTTAATTAACCATATCACTGGGCATCTAAGTCGTTTCCAGAAGTTCAGTGTTGTAAGTAACCCTCAGTAAAAATCTTTTTATGTAAACCTTTGTCTGTATCTTAAGTGGTTTCTTCGAGATAAATCTGTAGCAATCATGGGCTTTTTTTAGTTGTTACATATATAATTTTTTTTTGCTTTTTAAAAATTGATACATAATGTACATATTTATAGGGTGCATATGATATTTTGATAGATGTATACAATGTGCAGTGGTCAAATCAGAGGCATTGAGATTTCCATCATCTCAGAAATTTATCATTTTTTTTGTTGGAAACATTCCAAATCTTCTCTTATAGCTATTTTGAAATATATTATAAATTATTGTTAACTAGAGTCACTCTACTGTGCTATCAAACACTAGATCTTATTCCTTCTATGTAACTGTATTTTGTACCTATTAATCACCCTCTTTGTTCCTTCTCCCTTCTCTTCCCAGCGTCTGGTAATCATCATTGTATTTACTACCTGTGTGAGTTGTTTTTTTCTAGCTCCCACATATGAGTGAGAACACACAATATTTGCCTTTCTGTACCTGGCTTATTTCACTGAACATAATGTCCTTCAGTTCCATCCATGTTGCTGCAAATGATAAGATTTCATTCTTTTTATGGCTGAAGAGTACTCCGTTGTGTATTTATATCACATTTTCTTTATCCATTCATCTGTTGATGGACAGTAAGGTTGATTCCATGTCTTGGCTATTGTGAATAGTGCTGCAGTAAACATGGGAGTGCAGGTATCTTTTTGATACACAGATTTCCTTTCTTTTGGCTACATACCCAGCAGTGGGATTGCTGGATCATACGGTAATTTTATATTTATTTTTTTGAGAAACCTCTGTACTGTTTTCTGTAGTTGCTGTACTAACTTACATTCCCACCAACAGTGTATGAGTGTTTCCCTTTTTCTGCATCCACCTCAGCATCTGTTATTTTCTGTTTTTTTTTGTCATTGTTGTTGTTTTTTGTTTTTTTTTAGTAGCCATTCTAAATGAGGTGAGATGATATCTTATATGGTTTTGAGTTGCATTTCACTGATGATTAGTGATGTTGAGTATGTTTTTCATGTACCTGTTGGCCATTTTGTATATCTTCTTTTGAGAAATGTCTATTCGGATCTTTTGCCCATGTTTTAATCAGATTACTTATTTTATGAACCTTTTTTTAAAGCTGGTGGGACAACTCACCAAATTTATTTCCAAATTTATCAATTTATACTCCCAGTATGACTTGCAATGTTTGTCTTTCTGTGCCTGGCTTATTTCACTTAACATAATGTCCTTCAGTTCCATCCATGGTCATGCAAATGACAAGATCTCATTCTTTTTATTGGCTGACTAGTACTCCATTATGATTTCCTTTCTTTTGGCCATATACCTAGACATGGGATCGCTGGATCATATGGTAGTTTTATTTTTACTTTTTGAGAAACCTCCGTACTGTTTTCCAATGAGATTTCCTATTCTTTGCATTTCCCTAAATTTATTTGCTCACCATTGCCCAGGCACCATTGTGCAAACATTCTTATCACCATCATCAATGACCCTAACTTAGGGCCATATATTGTGTACCTAAACCTTATCCTGACTTTGGAAAGACTAAAGGGATTGGTCACAGGGCCTGCTCTGCAGGGCCTCCCAGGCAAGGATTCCTTTTACTTTCCTAAACTAATATGGCCCCTTAACAGGGAGCGCACATTAAAGTTAGGATCTGATATGAAATCTAAAAAGGGCTTGCTTGTTTTTTTTTGCCCTTGGTGATTCTTTAGTTTTGCCTCTGGATGTGTTTCAGCTCCTTGGCTGGTTGTGTAGTCAGTTCTGGCATGGCTTAAAGTGGTTAACCTCTTTTGTGTTTATCAGAACTGGTGTCCTTATCTGCCTTTTATGGAGAAAGGCCTTTCTGGGCAGCAATGTTGAATGAGCCTGGAAAGCCTAGATGTGGTCATTTAATTTCTCTTTTAGGCTACTGTTGTCTATGGCTCACCAAGAGCAGGCTGATTAGGAAGCTGAAGTGTCTGGTGTCACCTTGATTAGGTCAACTTCAATGTCAGGTGAAATAAGATCCAATGCATTCAGGTGTTTCTGGAGTTTGTGGTAGGTAATCAGGATGAGTTAAATTTAGCTGGGATTCATTTGGCTGGAATATTGAAAATAAGAGAGTTCCCTGAATATAGATGCTGGAGAGACAGCCTAGCATCTGGGGAAAAGGATGTGTTTTTCAGTTATGGGGATCCAGATTTGGGGCTGTTTCTCTTTCCCCCATTACATATCATTTTCACTGTGTTTTCTATTTCTCTCTTTACTTATCATTGGTTAAGTCTGATTATGTGCCCTTCACTGATGTTTGGGGTTGAGTATGTTTTCAGGCATATATTTGATACGGACACTCTATGTTACGACACTTCAGTTTTGTAGAGACTGCCTTTATTGTACACTCTTCTGGCAGTTTAGGTGTGCTGCCACCAAGTGGTAGAGTACCTGAGCTCAGTTGCCCAAGAAGACATAGATGGGTTTTGTCAGAGGCTCCAATGGTTCTATTCTGGTTCTCTCCTCATTAAATCTGGGATTTTCCAAGCTTTACTGTTTAAAATTTTATTGAAACACTGAAATTTAAGCAACCAATAAGCAAGGATTACTCTTCTTCAACTACAAGTGAGTTTGATACAATCTTTCTCAAAGAACTGTAGTAAATGATAGATAAAATAATGTTTGTGAAAATGTTTCACCTGCTATGTTGAAACTGGGAATTTTATAATAATGCTATTTTGGGGATATAAATAGTGTGGTGTTTCTATAATAATTCTTTTTAAAATAAAATCAAATTTAAAAAAACTAAAACACTAACAAAAAACATTCCTGTTGGTTTTGCCTTCATCTTTGGTAGATCTGAAGTTGCAGTGCCCCAAGCGAACTTATCTCTTGGAGCTCCCACTGTCCCCCTGACCTTTTTCATCAGCCACAAACATTGAAGATAAAACATTGAAGATAATTTGTCTTTTCAGACCTTCCTTTCCAGACAATATTTTCTTTCTCTCAACATGGAAGATGAGTACAAGAAAAACAAAACTATCTAGGGTTTCTGTTGCAGAGAATTTAGCTTGGGTGTAGGCACTCATCAGTTGCAGAAGATTTCTGTACCAGTTTGCCTCTGTCACTTGTATTGAAAAAAAAAAGTCTCCCCCTCGCCTTCTCCACCCCATCTCATGTTTTCTTAGATTGCTTTAGAAAAAAAGATTTATTCAGAATTTTGTTCTCAAAAGTCCAGCATTACCTAAACAAAACAAGTGATTTGAACAGCATTTAAAGATTTTTGAATCTGGAAAACTCATATAATGGGGGTGAGTCCCATCCCTTCTATGAGATCTGAGTGTCCTGAGAGAAACCACACAACTTTCTCTCTGATAGGTGGTGAACCTCTTGCAGGTTGGAATGGTTGGTTTTGTTTCTTGCCCCTGAGGGTGTGGAGCACCACCTTGCAAACTGGCTGAATTCAATTAGACTGGAGGCTCCCCAAGGAAAAAGGAGAGGGCTTCACCCCCCCCATACTCCTTAGGGCCAATGCCGGGATCTCTATTTCAGACATGAAGTACCTGAGGCCAGACTGAGGTTTCCTTCAGGAGGTTCTCTTTCCTCTGTCCGGGGCTGTGACCACAGGGGGTTACCCAGGCCAGAGGTGGGTGGACTGGCACTGTGGCAGAGTGGGGCAGAGCCTTCTGCCAGGGGACGGAGCATGGATGTACCTGCGAGGGAACTAGCAGTGGACTCAGTCTCACCAAGGAGCTATATTCTTGTTTCTAAATTAAGCAAGTATGACAGCCAGCCCCATTTCTCCTGGAACTTAGATGGGAGCACTTTGTCAGCCATGGTGACTCAGCAAGGATGAATGTTTTTCGGATAATTTACTGACGTAATTCAAGCATGTGTCCTGATGGCCCTGGCCCCTCTTTCCTTTTCTCTCAGAGCCTCCTTCCTCTCTGCATTTCCCATTTGTTCTAGGTCAAGTGAGGACCAGCCTTGGTTTTGAGAGCTACTAAAAAACTCTAAAATCAGTACATTTTTCTCCCTTGCATCTCCCAGACTGTTCTGTCCGGAGCTGGAATTTTATCTGTTTCCATCGCTAGTAATGCATGTGCCAGGTTTTGGCCTGGTGCCTGAGACAAGGTCTGAACCTTGTCCTGTGATGCACTCCACCCTGGTTCCCTACACAGGAAGAGAATGTCCTGGATCTCCAGACCATAAGCTGTTTTCCTTTGCAGGAAATTCAGGCTTCACCCTCATTGGCTGAAGAGAAACTCCCTGTTTTGAACTTGGAGGAAAGCAAGACCATTCCTCACCCTCTTGCAGCTCTGACTATGAAGGAGTGCTGCATTGGGAAGATTGCACATTGGTTCAGATTTAATTCTGTGGATACACAGGACACTTGTTTAGTTCTTACATACACACAAACTCAGAGGGAATGGTCAAATGATCTCTTGGCTGAATTTGCAGATTAATGGGGTGGGGAATGGGGGAGGGACCCAGTTCTTGCCTTCAGGAGGTTTGTGGTCTGGTTAAGGTTTCAGAATCCACAGGAGAAGACAAAAACTGAAAGCTTCCAAGGCAGCAGCCACACAAGCATGTCAGTTAAATGGACGTAATCAGACATAATTTACTGGTGGTAAAAATCTGACCTGGATTGTAAAGGAAATAGATGAATTGGAATTCTGGAGCTTAAAGGCAGGAAGAAGCTGTAGAGGTCTGCCAGGCCAACTCTTTCTTTTAAAAAGAGTAGAATGCTGTCTAAAGGGGTCCAGTCATGGGCTCAGGGTCCTCCAGCTGGCTAGGGTACCAGTCCTGAGCTTGCTGCAATCATACATACACTGCCCCCTAACATAGACCCTGCCTGTGGGACAGCAGGGTGCCTAGAGCAGCATGCACAGGATAAGGGCCTCTATGAAGTCATATGTGGAGGGATTCTTCCACCCTATATGTGAGCTTCCTGAGCTTCTGAGCTAGTTATGCATGGGGGCAGCCTAGTTTATTCTGATTTGGAGCAAAGACCTGGAGCCCTTGGTCCTCCCTGTTCCATTTCAAGATCCAAACATGCAAGCCTTCACCTCCCACAGGGCTCCCCGACTCCAGCTCTTTGACCTCCCTTGTAATTCCCAGGTTCCCACTAGTGTCTGAGCCATCACAAGGTTTTTCCTCCATGTAAACCATGGGGATCTCATCAGTCCCCTCTGCCAGGGCAACCCTGGCTGTGTGTCAGAGGGAAGGCAGGCTAGCTAGAGGGTAACAGCCGCCTGCCCTGCAGGAAATAGAGCTCCTGCACTGGTTGGTAAAACCCAGTGGGCATGGCCTGGGGGGGGTGGCTTTGTGTGGCGTGTTGCATTGTGTGTTGGTGGGGATGGTTGTGCATGTGTCTGCGTGCTGCAGGCAAAGAGCACTGGGCTTTCAAGAATGTGACTGCTACTTAAGGAGAAAGAGGAGGAGGGAAGGAGAGGAGGTGTGTGCAAGCCACAGCAAGGACTGTTTCCTGGAGGAAACATGTGGTTTATTAATGAGGATTCCACCTGGCCTGCCAGGAAACCAGAGCCCAGCTGGAGAGTGTGTGGGGGTTCCTGTGAGAGGGCAGGGAGAGGTGGGGGTGTGACAAGAGAATGAGGAGTGGTGATGGCATGGTAGTAGGCCAAGCCTGGGAGAGTTGCTGCTCTGTCTCCTGGACAGGTCGGGTGCAGCACCTGAGTGGGAGGCAGCCCATGGCTGCACTGTTGCCATTTCTCTTGAGTCCCCTCAGCTCTCTTCTCTTACTCCACGTTTTAGAAAGGCTCCTTGTGTCTTACAGTGGGGTGGCTGAGGCACTGTGCTTAGACAGGTCACAGTCTTTGTCACAGATATATGTGCTATGATCATAATGATATTTTTTAAAGTTAAAAGATGAATTGTTTTTCATATAGCCTGACTAAGGGGAGTGGGGAGCGGGAAAGAAGGAGAGGGTAGAGAAGGCCAGAAGAGAGTACCTTGGGGGTTGTCTGAGGAGGGCTGCGGAAAATGGGAGGGCTATGTGGGTTTTGGTTTCCAGTTCTTTCTTTCCCTGTAGTGCTTTGGTTTCCATTTCATTTCTGCTGCATGTTCTGAATGGCCCAGAAGGAAGGGATGAACAGCTCTGTGAGGGAGGGTGGGAAATAGGGCAGGAAGCTGCTGTCCTGAAATGGATGTCAGTTTCCATCCCACTCCCATCTGAACCCACCCCTTTGCCACCTTCTCTCCCTAGCCAGCTAGACCAGACTCTAGGAGCAATGGTTCTTGTGCTTTCACAGTTTTCATGTCTTCTCTTGGCTAAGAGTAGCTCCTTCCAAACAAATGCTGTGCTCCCAAGCCACTCTGATTCAGAAAGTGGGTCTCTTCCTTTGGTGAACAGGAGTTGTGTTTCAGAGCCTGTAAGGCTGTAAAATGACCTTACTGATTGACAAACCCATCAGGGTTTATGCAGCTGCCTCATGCTGGTCCCTCCAAGGTGTACATCCTTTGGAAGACTGCGTGCATTTGCCTGATCCTGCTGTCACCCCCGCCATTCCCGGAGCTCTCTTTGGGAGCTCCCTTCAGCTGTGGGATGCTCTTTTGACTGTTTGCGGCGTGGCATGGCAAGTCTTTGCTTTTTTTTTTTTTTTCTTTTTTTCTTTTTTTTTGAGACAGGGTCTGGCTCTGTTGCCCAGACTGGAGTGCAGTAGTGCAATTTGGCTTACTGCCACCTCCACCTTCTGGGCTCAAGCTATCCTCCCACCTCAGCCTCCCTAGTAGCTGGGACTACAGGCATGCGCCACCTTGCCCAGCTACTTTTGGTATTTTTTTGTAGAGACGTGGTTCCAACATCTTGCCCAGGCTGGTCTCGAACCCCTGAGCTCAAGCAAGTCGCCTGTTGCAGCCTTCCAAAGTGCTGGGATTACAGGCGTGAGCCACTGTCTTTGTTCTTTTTGAGAGGACTTGATTTGTAGAATATTTTGTTTAAAGGCAGCATTGAAGACAAGTTGGGATTTGGATGCAGAGATCCCGCTGAGTGATTTTAGGCCTCTGGACCTGTCACTTTATGGCTATACCTGGGAATGTTGGGTGTGACCCTGGGACCTGAGTCTGTGCTATTGAATACTTTACCACACTCTGCCTGGAAGAGAAAAAGAGAAACCACCACATCCCTGTTCCAGGTGTTTGCAATGAGAGGTCTTTTTGTTTTTGTTTTGTTTTGTTTTTTAATAGTATTATTTGTGTAGAATTAGGTAGCAGACTTTAAAAAGGTGGAAACTATCAACCTTCCTCATTTGGTCTGCAGTTAGGGTTTCCCTGGGACTCTGATGGGCAAGAGTTGGGTTTGCTTCTGGCACACTTGAGGGTGAGGAACTGACAAGGAGTAGTTCCTAGACCTAGAAATAGGCAAACAAATCTCTACAACTTTGCCTTCAGTGGTACTTAACCATGGCTGCACATTAGAATCACCAGGGGGAACTTTTAAAAATGATCGAGTCCAACCCCAGACCAATTAGTCAGAATCTCCTCACTTTATAGACCTGGAATAAGGCAGTTGACAGTTAGATGCCTGGTCCAAACGGCTAAGATATCCAGCCGACTGTGTGACCTAAAGCAAGTCACTTCCCGCCTCTGAAACTTGCTACCCTCAGTTCTAACAGGAGGAGCTAGCAAGAAGAAGCATGAATGTTTCCTCAAGATCAAGTGTTCTACGCATCTATGAGGCAAGATAGCATGGCAGTTTTATGCACAGATACTGAGTCAAACCACTTTATAGAGGAGGACTTGAAACTTAGATTTAGGATAAGATACTACCTTTGCACCACCCCACTGCCCCCACTAGCCCTGGCATCACAAATCAGATGTGCAGAGGCAAAAGATGTGTTGTTAAATGGGTAGAAAAGACACTAACTCTTTGGAATAATAACCTGGGTAAGAGGCCAGAGGGTGACTTCCAGTACAAACAACAACAAAAACCTCTGGATGAATTAACGTAGATTCTGAGGAGGTCTTTTGGCAGCTGGATTACAGCTTGACAGAAAGACAGCTGGTGGAGAACAGTCACCCATGACCCAGCGGAGAGAGCGCATGAGCAGCACAGGGAGCCCCACCACCTCTCTCCTGCCTTCTGGATACCCAGCCATCCAGGAGGCCTCCCCATTTTAAAGGACCAGTTTGAGAACTGTCTGTGGGAGCAAACATTCATTCAAAACCCATTCCTAGAGAGCGGCTCATTCTCTGTAAGACACTGTCTCATCCAATATTCTCTTTACTACTTCTGATTATACCAATTAGAGAACTTAAAGCAGGTGATAATGTGTCTTTAACACTTTTCTTTAACACCTGCTGATCTCTGGTGTTTCAGAAAGTGGGTGTGGCTTGGGGCAATCAGCAGAAGTACAGAGGCAGTTAGAATAGCCCTGAGGAGCAGAAAGCAGCTTAACATAGATCAAGTAATGGGCAAAAGTTTGAACAAAGTCTAGATCCCACAGCCAGAGACTCTCCACATGTCTGAATGGCTTGAGAATTCTGGCACAAATGGGTCAGGAGAATTGTTTTCTCTACAGAACTCCAGGAACCTTTCTTTCTCCTCAAATTTGGAAGAACTCAGTTTATGTAATGATTTAGGGTAGACATGGGTGCAGCACAGTTCTGGGAGAAAGTGTGAAGTGGATACTTACTTGGGGCTACTTTTTCTTCCTCCCTTTTCTGGTTTCTGTCTGCCTATGGTGAACGGTCTGCAGGTACTAAAGGCTGCCCAGGCATCATGGATAAGACTCCTCCCGATCATTCCTCCAAGTCATCCTGCACTGTCAGCCCTGTAGGACCAAAGCTGTGCTATGGCAGGGCCAGTGCCACCCTCATTAAATGAGGAACTCTTAGCTTGCCTTGTCCTTCTTCTCTGTCAGCCACTCCTCAGTGACCAGGCTAGCTCTCTACCCGTGTTCAGTTTGTCACCTTCCCTGGACATCCTAGTGAATAGGTCTTATTTGAAGGTTAATTGTGCTCCATCACAGCCCAAGCACTAGGGATTCCTGGTCCTCACACTAGGATTCTGACATCTTCACACTGCTGATACCCTGAAACACACACCCAGGCCAAAGGAACCAGCCCCCAGCAGCACACACTAAGGAGGTAAGCAGAAATCTTCATCCCCCTGACTGGTCTGCTGGAGTGGTGCTTGTTATGGGTCTCTGCTTCCCCACCTGCCATCAGAATGGATCAATGTGATCTTTATTCCAGCAGCTGTTTTAAGTGGGAATCTGCCAGACATTCATAGAAATGGGGTAGATCTCAGGTGGCATCACATGAGTGGGGGCAAACAGGGTCAGGCCATTTCTCTGCTGCCAGAGCACAGTGGAAACCATGAGGAGGATGGTCCTTATTCCTGAGTTAGGGGTTTTAGTACTCACACAGGATACCCTGGGCCTCCAAGCCAGATTATTTGATGTTTGCTTCTTCAAGGGAGGATTTTTCTTCCTGTCACTTCCAGAGTTCTCATGGTTTTATAAAAGACCTGGAGTAAGGCAGTTGACAACTAGATGCCTGGCCCAAATGGCTAAGATATCCAGCAGACTGTGTGACCTAGAGCAAGTCACTTCCCACCTCTGAAACTTTCTACCCTCAGTTCTAACAGGAGGAGCTAGCAAGAAGAAGCATGAATGTTTCTTCAAGATCAAGTGTTCTATGCATCTATGAAGCAAAAAAAAAAAAAAAAAAAAAAAAAAAATTGTAGTTTTATGCACAAATACTGGAGTCAAACAAAACAAGATTCAAATCCTGATTTTACCCTTTCCTTGTGACTGTAAGCAACTTCTCTGAGCCTCAGTTTTCTTAACGGTAGGGCAGGATAATAAATAGCAGCTACTTATGAGTTTCATCTGAGGAATTCATAAGATAATGTATATAAATGTTAATACAGAGCCTCATGTGTTCGGTAAGTTAGCTTTTACCACTAATATGTGAATATGTCTCATTTTTACCAAAAAAAGTTGCCCCAAATTTCAGTAGTTTGGCTCTCATTGTATATGTCTATTCAGCTGGAAGATTTGAGGTCCTCACGATTTAGAGGGCTAGCCAAGATGTAGCTGCTGGTCTCCTGCTTCCTTACCAAAGTTCATGATTTCTGCTTCCTCCCCTGGCTGCAGTGGAGGAGCAGCCAGCATCCAGGCTGTTTGACTCCTCAGGGCCTTTGCACAGGCTGTTCCCTCTGTCTGAAGTATATATATATATTTTTTTTTTGAGACAGAGTTTTGCTCTTGTTACCCAGGCTGGAGTGCAATGGTGCGATCTCAGCTCACTGCAACCTCCGCCTCCCGGGTTCAAGCAATTCTCCTGCCTCAGCCTCTTGAGTAGCTGGGATTACAGTCTCCTGCCACCACACCCAGCTAATTTTGTATTTTTAGTAGAGACAGGTTTCACCATGTTGGCCAGGCTGGTCTTGAACTCCTGACCTCAAGTGATCTGCCCGCCTCAGCCTCACCAAGTGCTGGGATTACAGGCATGAGCCACCGTGCCCGGCCTCTAGTATTTTTTTAGTGTTCCCCTAACAAATTATTTCTTATAGTTTCAGTCTTTGCTCCTCATGTGGGCTGTCCTAAGAAGTTCTTAAGACTTATCATAACTTGCATTTATTCTCTTTATCTAGCATTGTCTTGTGTCCACCTCTCCTTCTAGAATGAAACTTTCATGTTTCTGTCTTGTCCACATTTATATATACCTGGTGCCTGGTACTGGGCCAGCCACAAAGTAAATGCTCAATAAATGTATGTTGCATGAATAAATTAATGAACTAATAGATAATATGGTGCATTTATGTGACACTGTATTATTTGTGAAGCACCTTCATAATGAGGTTCTCCTTTTGAAGCCGTATGAATCTCTGTAAGGCTCTAGAAATTGGTCAACCAGAGCCTGGCTGTAGATACCCCACAATAGCCATGACAGTTGCCACGTGGGAAAGCACAGGGTCATGGCAATGCATAGGAAGAGCCCCTTATCCCAGTGCAGATGGAGCAGGGTGGGGAGGGAATGTATCTGTAAGAGAAGACTTCTTGGAAGAAGAGGCTTGTGAGGCTTGTGAATGTAAAAATGTGAGTAAAAATTACCCAGGCAAAGATGGGGTTGGCGTGGGCAAGCACAAAGGCATAGAGGCATGAGAGGGCAAACTGAATATAAAATTGAAACTAATAAATGCATTAAGAGAGGCATGGATAATGTGTTGTCTGTTTTAGCGAGGAGGAGATTGCTCTGACAGAGGATGATCAGGCAATAATGTAGAAGAAAGATCAGGAAAGAATAGAAGGTAGCATTTGAATTTAACCCTGTGGTCAGATGATAATGGGCGGTATGCAAGGTGGTTCACTCATGTGGCCAGGGGAGAATCCAGAGAGACACTCTGGGATTTGCTCAGACAGGAACCTGGAAAGAAGTTCAGGAAGAAGAGATTGGAAGTCAAGATGGGAGAAAGTGGCATTTGTCTCCCTAAGGCCAAACTGTAATGTAGGACAAAGCTTGGCCTGGGGTTGTCATTGACAGGTGCTCAGCCCTGCTGTCTGGGTCCAGAGAGACCTGTGGCTTGAGGCACTGGTACCCTAATTGCCCCCTGCCCCTGAAGTGGAGGTAATTGAGTCTCCTAAAGTGTGAAACAGAGCTGGGATAATAGTAGCAACTAAGACAGAGAAGGCAAATCCAAAGGCCAACAAACTGGTTGTGTAAGTTTGTAAATGAGCGGGGAGTGGCTTGAAGAGTGGTTTTTAAGCCTTCTCCAAAGACATAAAAACTTTACAGACAACAACAACTGTGCCTAATAAAACCACTTTGGGGGATTGTCTTCAATAGTGGGCTGCTAAATTGTGATCTCTGCTAGGCTACCATTAGTGAAAACGATCAGTTGTGACACGCCTATTCATTCATTCCTCACACACCCACCCACCCACAGAAGCCCTCTACACCTGGATCTATCAGACCTGGAGCCAGCCCAGTGGGTCAGGAGATGACTCTGTGGGCATCAGGTGTGGGCAGGACCTAACATGCACCTAGAGAGACACCCAGGCCTTGCCCAGAAGTTTGAGATGTGGCTGCCAGGTCAGGTGTACGACAAGAAGCAGAAACCTCGCAGTGATTTCATGGCAACTTAGAGAGGGGAGCCAGGGAAAGCAAATCTTCAGTAGGTGTCTGAGCACATGCAGCAATACTGGGGAGGGAAACTGCCAAGCTCTTTAGGGAAATCCTCATTAGGCCAAGAGGAGGAGCTCAGTCTTTGCAAAAAGAACCAGACATTTACTCCAATGGCAGAAATCCTTCCAAGCCTATTCTTGCAATAAATGACTCCACTGGAGAGACCCTGAGGCCATGGAGAGAGAAACTAACATTTTCAACAGGCTTCTGTATGGTGTAGTTGTTGTTCACCTTGCAGATGTTGTTCTGACTTATTTCATTGTTACTCTATCTATTTGTGTGTTACCTACTATTTATTAAATGCATATTGTAATATCTGATTTAGACAAAGTGAGTTTTTATCATTAAACTCTCAAAAACCACACCTAAGAGTGCTTAACTGTTGTCCTTGGATCACTATGGGGAGAATCCTGAGCTTTATCCCAGACCAACATTCATCAGAATATCTGGAAGGCTTCCCCCAAATCAGCATTTTTAAACAAGTGTTCTAGGTGATAAAGAAAGTCACTAAAGTTTGAGAAGCATTGGCATAAAGTGGTGAAAGTGCTTTTCTGAGATAGCACAGGCTTACTAAGTGAAAACGGCCCCAGTGGCATTTAATGAACAAAAGAGGAAATGGTACAAGAAACAGCTGATCAATCATCCAGTCATTTGGTATACATTTATGACTTCTGGGCCCAAGAGCCCTGGAGAGTCTATGAAACAGAACACAGCTCAGTTTGAAGGGATTGTAATTTATCACAAAGGGTGAGAACCTGGCCAAGGGGGCCTCAGGGGACCCATGGCCCAGATGGGAAACTATAGGGCAGGGTGAGCACAGGGGAGACAGGGCAGTGGCTGCCTTCTCCCTCTCAAGTAGCAGGTGTGGGAACAGGAAGGGGGTCACCCACTGTTCTTTCCCCTCCTGAGGGGATTTAAAAGTCTGCTTTGAAAAATATTTTTAAATAAAAAATAAGGATATAAAAGTCTGCTGCTCCAAACTTCACCCTCCTATGCCCCCGTCCTCACCATACACAATGCAAACTTCTGCCCTTGAAAGTTTGATTTGGGCTAATAAATATCTTTTAAAAGGTAAATCACCTAAAGGAAAAAAAGCAGGCTACCTGTTAGTTATGTTCCACTGTAAACGGGTCTGCTCAAACTGCTGTCATTTGAGCACAGTGAATGAGAGAACAGCCTTGGGGAAGAGGGCAGGCTGGGGAGCAGCTGCGGGAGTTGGTTGGCCAGAGAGCACCATGCAGACTCTGGCCACTGCTGGGGTTGGGGAGACAGAGCCAGGGGGTGGAAGTGCACCACAAGCAGCCTCTGATGTCTGTGGCACTTCCTGCTAATCATTACAGAGATTAACCAGGAAGACTGCTTCCTTGCTCCAGCATTTATTCTGGCCCCAGCACCCCACTGAAATTTCCCTGACTCAAGAGACCGTGGCCTCTTGGTTGCTAAGTACAATAGTTCTGCTCTTAGTGAATGACCAGTCTCTCTGCAGCATTTGACACTGTGGTTCCTCCTTGCAATCCTCTCCTCCCTTATTTCTTTGACGTCATTCCTCTCCTGGTTCTCTCTAACCTCTTCATTTTTTCCTCAGGGTCATCTACTTCCTTCTCCCACCTCTTAAACACTGATATTCCTGTCAATTCTATTCTTGACTCAGAAGATGGTTCTTTTCCTCTTCCTGGATTTTGCTGGGGGATCTCACCCACTTGTGTGCACATCAGCTACCACCCATTCGGGGATCTATTCATTCAGCAAATGTTCTTGAACACCTACTATGTGCCAGGCACTGTGTGACTCCTGAATAAAAATTTCCACACCAGATTTCTCTTTTAACTTCCAGACCATATATCAAATTGCCTTCAGAATTTCATATATGTATGAAATATACAATTGGCCCTCTAAATCTGCTGGTTTCACATTGGCAGATTCAACCAACCAAAGTTTGAGACCTGCTGATTCAGAGAGGTGGCTGTACGTATTTTCCATCAAGGATGGTTGAGTACATGGATGTGGAACCCACAGATATGGAGGGCCAACTGTATACAATTTATATTTACATTATTATTCATAACACTGTAATAAAAATAACTGTCTTAGACTGTGTTTAATATGACAGGGATTTGGATACAAATGATTTATTAAGGGTCTGCTATTCAGGAAAAACTTGTAAGAGACTGAAAGAAGCAGAGTTAGGAAAGGGGAAAAACCAACTAAGGATAGGTGAAGACTTCAGGTGAAGTCTAGCTGGAGCCTTCTGGGGAGACTGGGGAGGCGGTGAAAATGCATCACACTTCAGAGTTACTCTGCAATGAGGTAAAGGAGCTAGGCTCTGACATACCTGTACCAGACAGGCACTTGCTAGCCCTGGTGTGGGAGTATAACTGCCCAGGTTTCTCTTGGAGAAGCGTAGGCATCAGCTAAAGCAAGTATTCAGAGATGGTTACAGGCATCAGCTGATAGCTCCAAAACTCTTGGAACTGGAGAAAAGGCATAGTGGTTAGTAAAGGGACCCTGGGTGGACACCAGTGACATCTCCTATGGCAGCTTAGACTTACACAGAACAGTCTGTGTATGGCACCATCCTAAGTGATTTATGTCTATTAGGCTTTAAGACAACCCTGTAATTATTATTCACATTTTACATTGTGGGAACTGAGGCACAGAGGGGTTCCACAGTAAGTAAATGATGGGGCCAGTATTCAGGCCTAGGAAGCTGGTTCTAGTTTTCATACCCTTAGCTGCTGCCTCCCCTTCCTTGTTTGCACCAGGCACTGTAGTAGGCACTGAACATTCAACAGTGAAATGAATAAAAACTTCCTGCCCTTACTGAGGTTACTTTCCAGTGAGGGAAGATGGACAGTAAATAAGTAAAACATATTATCCAGATGGTAATAAGTGCTAAGGAGAAAAATAAAGAGAAGGGGTATAAAGAGTGCCGGGTGACAGTTACAGGTTTAAATAGGGTTGTCCATGGAAGACTTCCTTGAAGAGTCATTTTAGCAAAGACCCTTCTTCTACTCTTACACACTCCTTTGGGCTGACCCCAGTTTACCCTCCTTCTGCACAGTTGGAGGGTAATCTGTCTGAATCACCTGATCATGTTCCTTCTCTGAATCTTACCCTTCAGTGCCTTTAGGACAAATCCACTGCTCCTGCCTTGCCATATGAGGTGCATTCTGATTTGAAGCCTGCATCCACTCCAGTCTCGTCTCTTGCAAGGCCTGATTCTAACATTGTGGTGCCTAGGGCAAGAGTACAAATGGAAGCTCACATACCCTTTGTCTGAATATGTGAAATTAATGTAGCAAGCTAACAAACTGTTAAATAAAACATGTTCTGTCCTTCTACCTTGACAAATATATCTTCACAGCAACCTAGGAGGCCAAATTTAAATTTAGATTTGTTGGACTCCTTTGAGCTCCCAGGCCCAAATGTGGCAGCACAGTAGACCAGCCTCCACTCATGCTCTGCCTGCCTTCTCTCTCCACTCCCTAGCTCAGCCCTACATGGCAGGGGGACCTCATGCATTCAAGTGAACACCCCAGCTCACACATTTATATTCTAGCCACATCCTTGCAAATAGCAGCCCTTTGCCACCCCTCAGGCTTAGGGGTACACATAATGGTGGTGTTACTTGCCCTTGGGAATTGGACCCTGGAAAGAGATACCCATGGGCCCAGGAAGTAGGCTAAGGGTCCTTTGGGCGGAGAGTATTAGGGTTTCAGATACTAGGAGCTTGGCCTAGAAGGGGAAGAGGGATGTGCAGCACAGACTGTATGTGGGTGAGTCATCTTGGCTCCTGGGGTGGAGGGGGTGGGGTGTGCAAAAAGAGGGACAGAGCCCAGAATGGGACTCTCCAAGGCACTCAGAGCTGCACTCTCTTGCATTCAAAGGCCTGAACCAGAGTTAATCACTTGAACTTTCTCAATATGCCATGCTCTTTTGCTTCTCTGACTTTGTGGTTTTTCACAGACTCCAGAAGGGAGATCATTCACTTAGACTCCTTGCCCTAATTTATCCCGTCTCCTCTGAGTCCCCTAACTTAATCCCCTCATCTCTGACCCCCAACTCCTGTCCCCAAACAAAAACACCCACACATAGTGTCAGTGTGGTGGGTTATAGTATGATATAGTAACCTGAGCTTGGGTTTTCTTTTTTTTTTTTTTGTATTTTTGAGTAGAGATGGAGTTTCACCACGCCGGCCAGGCTGGTCTCGAACTTCTGACCTCAAGTGATCTGCCCGCCTCAGCCTCCCAAAGTGCTGGGATTATATGCGTGAGCCAGCCTGAGCTTGGGTTTTCAAGTCAACAGTCCTGGTTTTGAATTTTCGCTTAGCCACTTACTAGTTATGTGATCTTAGGCAAATTTTATGCCTCCATTTCATCTTCTGTCACATGGAGATAACCATACCTAGTTTATGAAGTTATTGTTAGGATATAATGAAATGATGTATGGCAAATACTGAACTATAGCCCCAGCACAGAATGAGCACACAATGAAATAGTCGTTTCCCCTTTCCCAGCTATGCCCCTTACTTGAAACCAAACACACAAAGCACCTTGGAAGATTAGCCTGTTTTCACAGAAAGATGCCAATTAGATTAGGTCACAGCACTCAGCTCCTGGGCCTCTTTCTCCATCTCCTGAGTTATTGAGAACCTCCTACGGAATATTAGGACCTAATTTCTACTCTTAGTTGTCAGAAATGATTAGTTAACAGGGCATAACCTGCTACTGACCACCAGCTTTGGATGCTGGGATTGTTGACCTCCAGCTCTTGGTAGCAACACAGAATATTTGTTGTTAGGGACAAAGAATTCTCAGGTCAGCATAATTACAGCAACAGAGATGGAGTCTGAGGAGCAGGAAAATAAGGAAGACAATCATCTCTAAGGAAAGGCAAGACCCACAGTTAACGTTGCCGAACCTGACATAGTTGGGCATGCAACAAATATAAGTTAAGCTAAACTAAATGATGCTCAGTGAGAAAACTCCTAAATCCCAATAGAAAGCCACTAATCCCTGATAGAAAGATGGACAAAAGAGCTGATCAGGTAATTCACAGAAGAAATATTTACAGGCCAAAAAGCAATAACTAGTAATCAAAGAAATGCAAATTTAAATATAATATAATATATTTTTTAATAAAACGGGCAAAGATTTTAAAAATTCTATGACCAGTGCTGGTGAGGATACAGGAAGGGGGTGGTACTGTCATACACTGCTGGTGGACATGTAAGTTGACATACCTTTCTGTAAAACAATCATGAGAATGATCAAATAAGTTATGGTATAGGCATAAGATGGACTATCACTAAATGCAACAGATTGGAAGAAATTTTAGACATGAGAAAAAACTACGTTACAGTGAAAAGTAGAACAGTATATGATATGAAAACTCTACGCACAGAAAAGGTGGAAAGGAAATAGGCCTGGGTGTTATAAAGTCCTACCATTAGCATCTCTTGCATGGATCTTTGACTACTTCAACTTTTGTGTAATTATCAGGTGTTTCTCTTATAATGGGAAAGAAATCCTGTAATTTGGAGAAAAAGTCACATTGCTTTAAGACAAGAAGATAGACAAAATTATTTATGGAAAGCTTCGGCCACTCATTGTTTCAATAAGTGTCAGGGAAGAAGAGGCAACTCCTTTCCTTTGGGATGCAGGATTGGGGAGAATACTCATCCTTTCTCTCATGCTGGAGAGAGTCGCCTCTCCTGGGGACTTTTCTATGTACCAGGGAGGCCTAAGTAAGCTGCCTTGTGCTTGAGACACTCACATAGTCAAGAGCTGTGGTCTCTTAATGAGGCTGTAACAATCTCATCACTGGTTGAAATTTAAGAATAAAGCCCCCCAAAAAGGTTTTTATTTCTTTTTGTGACCTGAATCCTTCTGTGGCCTTACTGCCAGCAGCTGTAAGCAACTGATATGTGGTAGGCACATATGTGGGTCAGGTAACATACATAGTGGTTTAAACAAGTGCAGTCTGGGAAATGGGAAATTAAGTGAAAGACCCTAAGGAAATACTATGCTGGTATTTATATTTTAAAATGTGAAGTAACCAATGTCTATTTTGAATTATAAAATAAACGGATTGGCTTTAAAAACATAAGAGAAGGAAAGACCCCTAACTACCCAAACATAGACTTTCTTCCAAACTGAGATGTTATAACTATTCTGACCTTCGTTTTTTTTCTTCCTATTCTCAGGAGTTATAGTCAAAGTTCAAATGTTTAAATAAACTTTGCTACTAAGTTATATAGCAACATCTTGATTTATTTAGCCTGCTTATGTCTTGGTTTTCAAGATGGTCACTGTCACTTCATCTTGCCTTGATTTCAAGAGTCACTCCTCCCCCATCGTCCCTCAACATCCTGATACGTGCATTTCACACTGTGACTCTTACAATGGAAATACATGAAACAACTGGTCTGCATCTTCCATTCCAGTCAGTTCCACTCTTGGCTCTCTCTGAGTGATCAGCATGACTCAGCGATCTGATTTTTTAAGCTGACTTACATTTTAAACCACAAAGCTGGGCATGGTGGCGCAAGCCTGTAGTCACAGCTACCTGGAAGGCTGAGGCAGGGGGATCATTTGAAGCCAGGAGTTTTGAGACTGTAGTGCACTGTGATTGTGCCTGAGAATAGCCACTGCACTCCAGCCAGTGCACATAGCGAGACCCTGACTCTTTAAAAAAAAAAAAAGTAAAAAGAAATAATAATAAACTACAAGTAATACATCTTAAATACAATGGTGATAAATACATGTTATTCATACTTTGTGTACCATCTCTCATCAACTGGCAGAATCAACATAGAGCCTTTTTTTGAAAAAGTATTCTTTGGCCCAGTTTGGGCTTAGTGGCAAGATGTACCAGTGCCTGTCACTGATGTGAGCACAGGGCAGAACAACACCCCTGTCAAGGACTTTCCATCTCAGGTTTAAGAGGCAACAGGGTCTCTGTCTTTAGAGAACTGGAATTTCAATGGGGAAAACATGATTCATTTTAGGAACAAGAAAGGGAGACAAACATTAAAATAAAAATCAAATACAATTGTGAATATCCAAATTGTAAACATCCCAACAAGTACAGTTGACTACAGGTTGGGTAGCTCCTATCCAAAATGCTTGGAACCAGAAATGTTTTGGACTTTGGATTTTTTTTTTTTTTTTGCGGTGGAGGGGAATGTTTGCATTCTACTTGCCGGGTGAGTATCTCTAATCCGAAAATCCAAACTCCGAAATGCTGCAACAATCATTTCCTTTGAGCATCATGTTGACCCTCTTAAAGTTTCAAGTTTTGGAGCACTTCAGATTTTGGATTTTCAGATTAGGGATACTCAACCTGCGTAAGAAAGGCCAAGTTATTTGCCAAGTGCTGGGAGAAGGCAGAATGCCAGGACCATTGGTCAGATGTAGAAAGGGTTTTCTAAGGCAGTACAGTTTGAGCTGAGTTTGAAGGTGGCCAAGAGACCTGGCATGAAGTTGAAAGAGTGATTCTGGTCAAGGGGAGTGCAGGTTTCCGGGTGCTTTTTGACTGTGTACTCCAAAGTCTCAGCTACCCAGAGTGACCATACCGACCTCTGACCTCCCCACAGTGAGGACGTGTGCAAACGTGGCTTCACTGTCATCATCGACATGCGGGGCTCCAAGTGGGACCTCATCAAGCCCCTCCTCAAAACGCTGCAGGAAGCCTTTCCAGCTGAGATCCATGTGGCCCTCATCATTAAACCCGACAACTTCTGGCAGAAACAGAAGACCAACTTTGGCAGCTCCAAATTCATCTTTGAGGTGAGCCAGATTTCTCTCTCTTAGCATCTTCTTTCCCTTCCCCTTCTGCCATCCACACATTTCTCACGTCCTCTTCTCTATCTACCATACAGTATGTGACACCTCAAGGGCTGAGATTTCAGGATTCCTTGGCCGCCATGGCCTTACCAGTTAGAGTATGGGGAGGAACAAGAGGCTCACGAGATTGTCCCAAATGCACACCTTCATTAGACAGTCTTATTTACTGTTGGTGGTTGTGTTAACTGGGACAACTGTTTGTGGAGGCAGCTTTGCAATTTGTAACAAAAACCTTAGGAAGAGTTTATATCCATTGATGTAGCAATTCTTTTTTTATTGCTGTATCATAGTTGTACATATTTTTGGGTACATGTGACATTTTGATGCCTGTATACAGTATATAACGATCAAATCAGAGTAAATGGGATATCCATCACCTCAAACATTTATCATTTCTTTGTGCTAGAAACATTACAGTTCTCTTCTAGCTTTTGAAATATACCATAAATGATTGTTAACTATAATTCCTCTACTGTGCTATTGAATACTAGAACTTATTCCTTCTATTTGACTGTATTTCTGTATCTAGTAACTAATTTAAGAAAATATTCTTTTTTTTTTTTTTGAGATAGAGTCTCACTCTGTTACCCAGGCTGGAGTGCAGTGATGATCTCGGCTCACTGCAACCTCTGCCTCCTGGGTTCAAGTGATTCTCCTGCCTCAGCCTCCTGAGCAGCTGGGACTACAGGCACCTGCCACCATGCCTAGCTAATTTTTGTGTTTTTAGTAGAGATAGGGTTTCATCATGTTGGCCTGGCTGGTCTCAAACTCCTTACCTCAGGTCATCTGCCCACCTCAGCCTCCCAAAATGCTGGGATTACAGGCATGAGCCACTGTGCCCAGCCTAATTTAAGAAAATATTCTTAATATGAAATCTCAACAAACAAGAAGGTAAAAAGCCAGGTAAAATTGCAAACAAGAAATGTCTACAAGAATGTTCATCACAGCTCACATGTTCCTATACAATAGTATATATACACATGTGCATAAATATTTATACATATATAGTGCATATACATACACATATATAGGTTGTATCCTTGCTAGCCATGACTGTTGGTGACATTAATCCACAAATACTGGCTGGGCGTGGTGATTCACGCCTGTACTGTAATCCCAACACTTTGGGAGGCTGAGGAGGGTGGATCACTTGAGGTCAGGAGTTCAAGACCAGCCTGGCCAACATGGTGAAACCCTGTCTCTACTAAAAATACAAAATTAGCCGGGCGTGGTGGCGTGTGCCTGTAATCCAAGCTACTCAAGAGGCTGAGGCAGGAGAATCACTTGAACCCGGGAGGCGGAGGTTGCAGTGAGCTGAGATCGTACTATTGCATTCCAGCCTGGGTGACAGAGCGAAACTCCTCAAAAAACAAAACAAAATAAACAAACAAACAAAAAAACAAAACAAGCAACCCAAATACGATGAAGCCAGGAAAAGCCATATTTAGAAAAAATAGTATTAAAATATTTATTGTTTAGTAAAATGCAGGTGATAAAACAATATGGACACTATAATCTGAGATTTGTTTTTAAAGTGCATGTATGGAGAAGAAAACTGAGATTGAAGATGTTAGTGATGGTTTATTCTACGTGACTGGATAGTGGATGGTTTTTATTTACTTCATATGTTTTTATTTTTTTCAAGGATGATGTATTACTTTCATAATCAAGGAAAACATGTTTTTAAACTAAATTTTCTGGAGGGTATATGTTTCCCCTGAGAATTTTCAATGACAATACATCAGATTAAATCAATGATTTAAGCGTCTGTATTCCAGCCAAATATAAACTGTTCCCTTCCTCAGAATTCTAGTCCTCATCTGCAAGGGGATGAACTTTTAAATGTGTGTGTGTTGAAAACACAGAGCTGCTTTTAATCTTTCAGCAGCTTCCCATTCCAGACTTTTGTGCCCTGGGGGCCAGGAGCGCCTGTGTGTGGTGTCAAATAGGCTGTGATTTGAGCACAATGACCTGACACTTGATGCAGGCGATTCTCACTCTGTGTAAACAATACAAGAAATTTGGCTTGGTATAAAAACAGTGACCTATTATAGTCTCCTGGCACCCCTCCAGAACACTAGAAGTCCTGCAGGGAAATGCTTTCTATATTTTGGCTTGTTTATACAGAGGTGGTGACAACAAGCCTATAGATGTATAAGCTGAAGAGACTGAAAAGCATCTTTTCAGTAAGTCTTGATACTTCTGCTTCAGCATTGCTGGCCTGCATGTCCCATCTCTCTGTACCTCTTTCACTCTAAGTTGAACAAGCTTGTCTCTGCCTCCTAAATAAGAGGATAGGAGAGATAGCTGGGGGCCTCCCAATCAAAGGAATATTTATAAGGCAGTATCTTAAAAACAGTGAATTTAATACTTAGTGCAGACTGGGGTGACAAGTGATACAGAGATGAGAGTATAAGCTTGTTCAACAACAGATACTTATACAACAGATATATAATAATTGGTAAGTATAATGATGGAGGACTTCCCGGAAGTGGTAAACTTTGAGCCAAATTTGAAGGAGAAAGTACTTTGGAATAGGGTTTCTCAAGTTTAATGCACACAAATCTCCTGGGGATTTTGAAAATGCAGATTCTGCCTCAATAGGTCTGGGGTAAGGCCTAAGATTCTGCATTTCTAACAAGCTCCCATGTGATGCCAATACTGCTGGTCTGAGAGCTATGCTTTGAGTAGCAAGGATGGAGATTAGCAGGAGTTTGCAACTCTACTTGCACATTAGAATCATCTGAGGGACTCTTAAACCTACTGATGTCCAAGCTCCCATTTAGCCAATTAAATCAGAATTTCTAGGGATGAGGTTTGAGCATTGGTATTTTTGCACACTCCCCAAAGGATTCTAATGAGCAGTCAAGTTTGACAACCATTGTTCCAGACCAGTCCTCCTGCCTATGGCACCTCCTTCCTTCCTCTTAGGAGAGGGGTGGAAAGAGAAGGAACAAAGAGGGGATGCTCAGAGAGTGGCAAGACACAGAGAGATAAATTGCTTTTCAGGTTTTGAGTAATGATGCAGCCTTCAGATCATCAGAGTGAGCACTAACAGGGATTGAGCATGTACTCCATGCTATGCACCCTATGTGCTTTACACACATTGATACATTTAATCTCTGCAAGCCCCATGAGGAAGGAATAATTATCTCCATTACACAGAGGAGGAGACTGAGGCTCTGAGACCTTAATAGCTTGCCCTGGGTCACACAGTTAATAAGCATAGGGCTGGGACCCAAACACAGATATTAATTTGCTAGCCTCTCATTCTTCATGAGAAAGAAGAGAAGCCTAAAGCCCTATAGGAAGGAAAAGATGTTTACTAATAAACTAAGGTGGTTGCCTGCATCATCATTTGCTGGAGACACTTTCCTTCCTGGAGACAAACATTCTCCAGTCCGCTCTCCAGGAGCTTGTAGGGGCCTCACAGAGAAAACCAAGGGCGCAGACTCCCCTGTTGCCCATCCCTAGTTCTGTTCACCATACCACAGAAGAGCTAAAAGGGAGAGCCTTGGAAAAGATAAGACTGTGAAATCTTTGCAGCCCAAGCACTGGCCCATGTTGCTTAATCCAACTATGATGATACCCTGGGTCCACGGGCCTTGGTTTTAAAGCTGTGGAAAACTGTCCCCCAGAAACTAGGTCAGTTTTTCTTCCAGCTTCTGCTTCTAGCCTCTGAAGCCCTTTTGAAGTGAACTGGGGTCAGGAGGAGGGAAAATGAGGAGAGGAGGGACACAAAAGCAGTTCTTCTGGGGTGGTAAATGGCTGGCAGTTGTAGAGGCTTGCTAAAGCAGTCAGCAGTCTGTAGAAACTGCTGATCCTGACTGATCTGTGACTCCTGACCAGTGAGTCCCATGGCCTCCACTCACCATTTCCGAGGCAGGCTGTGGTCATTATTATGTGGATTTATCTTGTCCTTTCCCTCATCCTATTTCTGCCCTGTTCTTCCCCTGACATCACTGAGTATCCTTGTCTGTGTCTGCCCCTTCCAGACGAGCATGGTATCTGTGGAGGGCCTCACAAAGCTGGTGGACCCCTCCCAGCTGACGGAGGAGTTTGATGGCTCCCTGGACTACAACCATGAGGAGTGGATCGAACTGCGGCTCTCCCTGGAGGAGTTCTTCAACAGCGCCGTGCACCTGCTCTCGCGCCTCGAGGACCTCCAGGAGATGCTAGCCCGGAAGGAGTTTCCTGTGGATGTGGAGGGCTCTCGGCGGCTCATTGACGAACACACACAGCTCAAGAAAAAGGTGCTGAAGGCCCCTGTGGAGGAGCT
The DNA here is from genome assembly GCF_000001405.40 of Homo sapiens. Taxonomy (NCBI): domain Eukaryota; kingdom Metazoa; phylum Chordata; class Mammalia; order Primates; family Hominidae; genus Homo; species Homo sapiens. Next base: position 124,269,027 of record NC_000003.12, read on the forward strand.
GGACCGGGAGGGGCAGCGGCTGCTGCAGTGCATCCGCTGCAGCGACGGCTTCTCAGGACGCAACTGCATCCCGGGCAGTGCTGACTTCCAGAGCCTGGTGCCCAAGATCACCAGTCTCCTGGACAAGCTGCACTCCACCCGGCAGCACCTGCACCAGATGTGGCATGTGCGCAAGCTCAAGCTGGACCAGTGCTTTCAGCTGCGGCTCTTCGAGCAGGATGCTGAGAAGGTAGGAAGGGAACAGGCCAAACCTGAGCCGGGATGGGGGTGAGGGAGCAGAGGTTGCTCATCCAACTTTCTGATTAATGATAGTACTTTCCTGGAAAGCTTTAAAACAGTGTGCCTACTAGTTTTAGCTAATGTAATTTTTTTAAGCTCACCCTTATATAGTGTGTATTATGTGCCCAGTATTGTTCTAAGCACTGTGTGTAAATTTACTCATTTTAATCCTTTCAAGAGTCCTGAGAGGTAGATGTACTATTATAATCACATTTTACAGATGAAGAAACTGAAAGGTTAAAGAATTCACCAAGCTGGGAAGTGCAGTCTGGCTCCAGGGTCCCTGCTTTTACCTACTGTTAGAAGCTGCCCCGAGTGCCTGCAATGAGTGGCTCAAGCCAGCTAAGGAACAAAAACAGTACTGTTAACAGCCACTATAATATTAATTAGTGATTATGGCCCTGCAATGTATTTTACCATTGACAAACCACTTTCACACAGTCTTATTTAATCTGCATAATCCTTTGATCCTTATGGGTTGAGTGGTGGCATCTCTCTTGACATGCAGGGAAACGGATGTTCTTTGATCTTGGGTCTACAGTGACAGAGCTGACATCTGAATCCAGCATTTTTCTGTTTCTAAGTCCAGGGCTCTTCCTGCCATACCCACTTGTTTCCAAAGGTTTCTCTTCAGCTGCTAAGCACTTTCTTGAGTAAGACACCATTTTTTCCAGCAGTGAATTTTCAAAGCTTTCCCCTTATCAGGGAAAAGTAAGATAAGAGAATGTAAAAAAGGAAAATTGCATATAGTGCCTCTTTGCTGAGGATACAAAGGTATCTTTCCTAGATTCTCTTTAAGCTAAAGAGAAGAAAGAAGAGTTTACTATTATATGTGCTTTAAGAAGAATAAAATAGGCTCTCTTCCTATGAGTTTTCTGGATATAACTTATATTTAAATGGCCAATACTGTTCTTAGGGATGCCATGACATCTCTCAGTAACCTGTGAATTTTACAATGTCTGATATCATGGTTTTCTGTCTTTTAAGAGCTCATATTGAAAAATGTCTCTAGGTATTTTTAAATGATGAAATCGAGATCTTCAGCTCTCTGTATAAGTGTGATCCCAATTTATGTATTAAATATAACTGCAAGAAAATTTATCAGAATATTAATAGTTTTGCTTCCTTGGGGCAGGCTTATGGTTGATTTTAATTTCTCTGTATAATTTTATAATGTTTTCTAATTTTTTATAACATATAGTAAAAAAATTAGTATATGCAGTTTTTTTAATGCATATCACTTTTTATAGCATATCACTTTTTATATACCTTTTGAATATGATTTAAGCAAGGTTTGGGAACTTCTGACCTTTCTTGGGGCTCTTTGCCCAGTGGCCTGGAAGCCTGGGTCTGACCCTGGCCTGACCTGCCCTGAGAAGGGCAGCTTAGACCTCAGAATTCCTGCATTGCTCACCGAGTGATTAGATGCCAAGGCAGGAGCCAGCTGTTCTGTGAAGCCAGAATCAGGTACTTTGGCTCTGTTGCCAGTTTTGTTTTCTTTGTTTATTTTTTTGTTTTGTTTTTTTTTTTTTTTTTTTTTTTGAGACGGAGTCTCGCTCTGTCGCCCATGCTGAAGTGCAGTGGCACCATCTCAGCTCACTGCAAGCTCCACCTCCCGGGTTCACGCCATTCTCCTGCCTCAGCCTCCTGAGTAGCTGGGATTACAGGTGCCTGCCACCATGCCTGGCTAATTTTTTGTATTTTTTTAGTAGAGACGGGGTTTCACCGTGTTAGCCAGGATGGTCTCGATCTCCTGACCTCGTGATCCACTCACCTTGGCCTCCCAAAGTGCTGAGATTACAGGCGTGAGCCACCGTGCCCGGCCCTGTTGCCAGTTTTGGAAAGATCTGGAACATCTCTTTTTTCTTGAGGCCTGTTTTGCTCTGGGGCAGGGAATCTGCTTTGCAGCCTGGCCTGGGTGCCTGTTTCAGTGAGCAAGGGACAGAAAGGGAGGTGGGAGACTTAGGTCTGCCTAGGTATGTTTTAGAGTTTGGGGCACTTCATGGTATCCCTCAGGCTCAAGGACATGGGAAGCCTGCATAGGGCACAGATAGTGCCTGTCTGAAAAACCAAGTAAACGGCATACCATAGCTCCAGAAGTTCCCAGGTCAAGGAGGCTGCCTTTCTAGGGCCTGCCAAGTTCCATTCAACAGGGCAGTAATTGCTGTTACACCTATATGCTCTCAATCCATGTTCATAAGAATTGTATAGTACATTGATAATTACTACTTTACAGTTGAAGAAATGGAAACTCAGAGAGGTGAAGTGGCTGGCCCAAGGTCATACTGTTGGTTAGCCAGGGCCAGTGTTTTAATCTGTCTCCAAAGCCCATCCAAGCTCTTATCCAATAACCCTGCTGTCCCTCTGCTCCCAGAGCTTGCCTTCTGCTACCACTGAACACCACCTGTTAGCCCCTAGGTCTCCTGGCGCATGCCTTGATGGCCCTAGAGAAAAATCCCAAATCCTACATTTTAATGCTCATTCCACAGCAGGGGCTCTTTCTGTGCCATGGACTCTTTTGGTCTGGTGAAGCATATGGACCCCTTCTCAGAATAACATTTGTAAATGTACAAAAAATATACATAGGCTTGGAAAACAATTACTTAAACACGGTTATTTGCAGGAACAGAAAACCAAATACCACAGGTTCCGACTTATAAGTGGGAGGTAATCATTGGATACTCATGGACTTAAGGATGGCAACATAGCAACTGGGGACTACTGGAGGCAGTAAAGAGAGAGGGGGCTAAGGGTTGAAAAACTAACTATTGGGTACTATACCCATACCTGGGTAATAGGATTATACCCAAGTAATAAACCTGCATATGTATCCCTTGAATCTAAATTAAACGTTAAAAATAAAATAAGGAAATAGTTATTACGTTTTAAAAATAGCAGCACTATATGTATTTTTAATTAACATACTAATAAGATCTACTTGAAGTCTAATAACTACCATAATCCTGAAGTAGTGATGAATGTAAATAAATGATGTTTCAGGACAACAGCCCTGATGTGATATGAAAATGTGTGTGTTTCTATTGGAGTCAGAGACACACACTAATGCAGTTTGTTGACTGTGTTCATAATGGAAGAGAATGCTATATTTCAGTTAGAGGTTAGTGAAAATAAAGACGTGATTTTTTTCCCTATCCAAATATATGATCCCTGAATTCTATCCATGAACCCAAGGTTTAGAATGTCTGTTGTGTGATGTGCTCATACCTTAAAAAGGAGTGTGGGGGAGTGGGCGAATGTGCACGTGTGTATGTTCATGCATGTGCATGTGAGTAGAGGGGTGGGGAGAGAGGGAGAGAATATTCAAAACAAGGGAGCAAAAAGAAGGGTGGGACGAGGGCAGCCCAGGAATATTTTGAGGTTGAGTCAGTGGTGAAAATGCCACTCAAGCTTGACCCAGCTGCCACTGAAAATGTGCTGAGTGCTGGACAGGGTAGAAAAACAGTCCTTTTAAGTTGCTTTAAGATTAATTTAAAATATCTGCGCGGAGCTAAGTGCCTCAGCCTTTGACTTATTTGGTGGCTTTGGAAGGGGGTGAAGAGGGTGATGGTTTGGAATAAGGGCTGTGAGTGTGGATCCACATCTAAACAAGGGCTTGAGGAAGTAGTTACTGCCTGAGCCAAGTCTTAGTCTCCCTTCTGGTGGGAGGCTGGTTGGCGGAGGCCTCTAATTCCAGATCTGGGAAGCTCTTGGCAATCAGAGGAGTCTGGTGATAGTTCAGCCTCTATTTTTGTAAAAGAGGTGGGCGCAGTCTCGCCCCTGGCCTTGCAGGGTGACAGCTTGTTCCCAAGGGCTTGAAAATGGGTTGGTGTTCCCCATTTACCAGCTGGCCTTGGGGAGTGAAGCTGCCTCTCACTTATTCCCCTGACACCTGTGGTGAGCCCCCACATTCCCCATCTTGGAGGTGCTGGGGAGTGGGCCGTGCTCTCTCCCAATTAAGTATCTAGGGAGTAGGGCCTCTGTTCCACAGATAATTCATAAAGCAAGTCACTCATTCATTTAATAATCAATGTTGAACAGCTGTCGTGAGCCACCAAAAGGGTGGGTAGGCCAGAAGTTCTGTCTGGAGCAGCTCACCATCTAATTAAGCAAGTGAGCACATAAGCTCCTGTGTATTCACTTTTTTTTATTTTTAAAAGCAGGTTTATTGAGGTATAATTGATAAACAATAAGTGGCACATATTTAACATATATGATCTGATAAGTTTGGACATACGTATACACCTATAAAACCATCAAGGTAATAGACATAGCCATACCTCCAAAAGTTTTTTTGTTTCCCTTTGCATAAACTCTTACTTATTAAATGCTTTCTGTGCATGCTGTACTGTCCTAGGCACAGCCTCTGTGCTTGGAGAATGTTCAGAGAAGAGGGAACACTGCTGCTCAGGAATGACAGGAAAGTCTTAATGAGCAATCTGTGGAAACACAGAGTAATTCAGAGATGATTCAAACAATGCATGATGTTAGATGAACCACTGCAGTCTCAGCCGGGCGCCCTCTGGTCTATAACTAATGGGCCTGTCCTCCACTGTATTCGCAGAACACAAGCCAGGTCACCACTCATTGGCCTGGTGCAGATTAAGGCTCTCTGTGCAGCCATGTTTCACATCTGGCCACCCCTCCAGTTGTGGTAGACCCTGTGTGATGAAGGTGTCTGCCCTGCAAACACAACCTATTACTGAAGAGAAGGGATGGGCCTCTTCCCCACTGGGGGCCATATGTGGTCTTAAAGGTCATTAAGTAGACTCATTGTAGATGTGCCTTTGGAAAATGGAAGGGTGAGTGCTACTCAGTGGAAGATCCTCCCCCGACACACCCCTTCCTGGGTGCCTAGGGCACATCTTCTAATGCTAGAACTAGAAGCAGCCGTGAAGTCCACACGTCTACCTCCCACACACCGTAGAAATCCCAGCCTTGCCATCTGATGACAGTCATTATGACCTCGTGATGTCAATGTGCTGATGCCAATGATAAGTATCAGAAAATATCGAAACTCCCATCTGCCTTCTGATGTGGGGAAGGCCCTCAGTCTTCCAGTCTTTTCAGGGAAGGAGCAGAGCTTCGAAGAGTTCCGGTGCATAACTAGACTTAACTGATTGAGAAATCTTTATCTACTTCATTTCTGAATAAAGGAAGCTCTACTGATGTCTACCCAGGAGGCCCATTTTTTAGCCTTGCCCAAAGCTATTCTGGAAAGGAGAAGATATTCGCACTTTGGGAGAATCCCCAAAAGAGTGAACAAAGCTGGCTAATGGGGCTTCCAGTATTGAAATCATGCCTATTATTGGTTTATGCAGCACATTGTATTTGTTTAATGTGTAAATGCATGGTTGGGAAACACCCAAGACAATATCCTTATCACCCTGCTTGAGAGGATATTTTGGTGCCTACCTCCCCCATGACCAAGACATCTAGCCCAAATGAGAATCTCTCATTTTTTTTTTAGGTGTTCAGCAGAGACTGTGGCCTCCGTGGCTGCCTAGCCCTGCCTTTACCACTACAGGAAAGCTCACCTTGGAAAACCTAATTTTTAAATGCCTTCCTGCATATTCATTTTTGCACGGTGAAATTCTATTCACATCCATGGGTGCCATGCTGAAATGGAGCTGTGGTGGGTGGGGTTAGGATTTGTCCTGGGGTGACACGTATCAATTGTGAGACATTAGGCACATCTTTAACTTATCACCCCCAATTGTGTTACCGACAAAACAAAGATAAAGAATTTATATTACTTCTACTTCAGCATCTTTTGACTTTTCTTCTGCTTCCACACTGCACTGTTCTCATGCACAATACTCTCTCTTCATGAAAACATCTTTCAACAGGAGAAGTGGGGTGGCCACGGTCATGGTGGTGGTAGCTTTGGAGGTGGTGATGACAGAGAATAAACTTCTGAGGAGATGTACCAGAATCTGCAGAGTGGTTTAATAAAGCCCCACCCCAACCCCAATCCATTTCTCTTCCTTCCTCTTCCTTTGAGACTTGCTCCACTAAATAAATATCTAAGCCCTTTTACAACTTAACAATTGTATAATACTTTTTGCTTTTGTGCTTTTTCATTCTCCCCTACATATTTATAGTGGGTTCTTCTCTTTTCAGGATTGTTGCCTTGGGTAATTATGAAAAATAAGAAACCTCTCAGCAAATAAAACCCTACTCCCTTGAGGTTTTGTTTGTTTGTTTGCTTAAAAAAAAGACAAACTTCTTCGCAGGGTTGTTATGAGAATTGAGTGGGGTTATGTATGTAGCAGTGCCTGGCATGGTGCCTGGCCCAGCATAGCTATTCCAGGAACATTGGCTTCCCTTCCTTCTCCCTGCACTATTTCAGTTATGATTTACTCTTCAGTCATGGGTGCCTGCTGAGACCATGAAGAGTGTCACTGATGCTCTCTTCCAAATGAACCTGCTCTAAATCATTTTCAATTATCCTTAATGGAACAAAATTCAGAATTGATTTTTGAGAGAAGTTGGAAATTATGGTGTAGATTCTTGGGGGTCCTGCAGGTCACCAGGCTATGCAGTGCCCCTGGGCAGGGCACAAAAGAGGAGCACATAGGTCACACTGGGGTCACACCTGAGGAGTCAGGGTGGGGACATCCTCCACAGGGAAAGTTCTCTGGAAAAACAAGGTCTGTCCTTGAAGCAGCCCCAGAGAAAAGTGATTCTTCCTGGTGTCCCATGAGAGGTGAGCACCTGTCCCCATGCACCCTCTACATCTGAGACACTTGTCACCTTCTGCTTTGCAGTATAGCTAAGAGCATATTTGTCTTATTCCCTTGCAAACTTGGGGCCAGAAATACTTCCTATGGCAATGTTTATGCATTTTAATATTCTTGGAAGTCTGTGCAAACAAAATAATGCTGCTTTTATGTTAATCACCATGAGAAAATCTACACTGGGCACCACTGGGCATCGTGGTAGGCAGCAGACCACTGTGCTAAGGGTGATGTGCTTATTGCGTTTTGAGGTTGGTATGTCCTGTTGGCCACATTAGCATTGCAGGACATCCCCAGGATGCCCCGTCACTGGGCAAAGTATCCACTGCTATTTCCTGTCCTCTCCCTCCAAGGTATAAACAGTTCTGGTCACTCCCTAGAGCCCAAAACAGGACCCAAAGTCTTATCCTGCCTGGGGTGACCAGAACCAGTGGGGCTGTTGTAGAGAAATCCTGCTGCTTCTACTTCCCTGGTGGACCCTGGCCCACTGTCTCTTCTCTTCCCCACACCTCCAACACCCCCATTCCCCATGAGGCAGCAGTAACATGATTCCACTGTCATTTGTCAAAGTGAAGTGCCTTTGCAGTAATTACAATATGTAATTCTTTTCGGAATGTTCAAAGTATTTTCACACCCATGACCTTAGAGATTTTCTGGCCCAGCCCTTCCTTTTACATAGTAATCTTTGACCCAGAGCAGAGACCCACCCAAAATCATCCAGTCCATGGTTCATCATCCAAGTCTCCCATGTACTGTGTGTGGTAGGCCAGGTGGGCACGTATAGGGGCATCATTTCACAGATGGGAAAGCTGAGACTTGGTGTGCTTGAGTGGTTTGCTTGGGATAGAGTCCTCTGCTTTGAAGCTGGTGCTCCTCCCTCTTCTCCCAACACACGCACGCACACATGTGCGCATGCACACACACATGTGTGCACACGTGCACACACACACTCTCTACACCCTCTCTTTGGAGGCTCCTTGCCGTGCAGGACAGATGGTGGCATGTGCCAGGAACCTAGGCGGTGGCTAAAGGGGCTGGGGGCTAGGAGGATAAGGGTCACTTGACATGTGTCCTCACCAGTGCTGTGGTGAAGGGACAAGCACTGGACAGGCCTCCAGAGGGGCGTGTCATGTCTCTGTGTGGTTCAATTGCCTGAGCCCTTCATGTTGGGAGGGAGGCTTCAAAGAGCTGTGACCTTCGGGTTGGCCAGAAGGGCAAGGCCTTTACGGGGTGGTTGTAATTTCCTGCTTTTTTTGGAGAAAGGCTCCGGTGCCCTCTTGTTCCTGCTCTCCCCTCTCCTACTGAGACCTTAACCACCAAACCCCTCCACCTCCTGTTGACGGAGCTCAGGGCAAGGAAGTGTGTCTGTATCCCGCCCCCTGACACAGAACACAGTGTCCTGTATTATTTCCAGCCTGCTGGTCCTGGGAATTTCGACTTACTTTTTCTCATTTCCTCCCCTTGAACATTAGAAACATTAGATTCCAAAAATAATCTAAGTCACCGTGTTCTACAGGCTGCATGTGTGTGTTTTCTCCCAAAGCTGTTTTTCTCCCTCTTAAATCCTTTCTCCCTCTCCTTTCTTCCCTCTCCTGCATTTTCAGCCCCATTTGTATCCTGAGATTAGCACGCCTGCAGGAGGAGTGTGGGTGTGGAGAACAGAATGGAGGAAGGATGGGGAAGAATGCTCAGGCATGAGGCTTGGCTCCCTTCCACGGTTCTCTCAAGAGAGTGGAAGGTGCCAAGACCTGAACTGCTGTGTGTAAAAAGTCTGCCTATGCAGCCCCTGCTTATGAATGGACCCCATAGAACTGTGGACCCCTTAGTGACTCTTTGGAACTGAGAACTAAGACACTGTGTTAACAGTACTTTCCAGAATCTGGGCTGTCACACTGACTCTGTCTGCAGCAGTTGAGGTGAGCTGTGAAAAGAAGGTCTGATCAGAGATGAACTATGTGTGTGTGTGTGTGTGTGTGTGTGTGTGTGGTGCAGGGCAGTAACTGAGAAAAGTTCATTGACTCATTCGTCAACAGACATTGAGTGTCTACTGTGTGACAGGCCTTCTGTTGGGGCTATGTGTCTCTACTCTTACCCTAGGCCTTGGATGGAGGATAGTGTAGGGCAGTGCAGGGAAAATCAGAGTTAGCACTAATGTAATTCTTGATACATCGTAAGGAAAAGATGGTTTAGAGAGTCACCACTCCAGTGGCTAGAACCCAGGTGAGTTAAGATATCAAGGTCTCTGTTGCTTTCTGGGTGGGGTAGGGCTGGTGGAGGTGGGGTGAGTGTCTTAGTATGTATGGGAGAAAAAGCATGGAGGTGGTCCAAGCAAAAAGGAGACATGTCAGCTCTGCCCCAGTAGGGGAAACAGGGGAAAGGTTTTGGTACCCTGTTTGAAGAATGAAGGACACTTCAGGTGTGTGTGTGTGTGTGTGTGTGTGTGTGTGGTGCAGGGCAGTAACTGAGAAAAGTTCATTGACTCATTCATCAACAGACATTGAGTGTCTACTGTGTGACAGGCCTTCTGCTGGGACTATGTGTCTCTACTCTTACCCTAGGCCTTGGATGGAGGAGAGTGTAGGGCAGTGCAGGGAAAATCAGAGTTTATAAAGTAAAACCAATTTTACTTTATAATTTGTTTTATAAATTATAAAGTAATTTGGGAATGCCCCATCACTGGGCAAAGTATCCACTTCTATTTCCTGTCCTCTCCTTCCAAGGTATAAACAGTTCTGGTCACTCCCTAGAGCCCAAAACAGGACCCAAAGTCTTATCCTGCCTGGGGTGATGAATTTGTCAGACTTTATAAAACAAAGTCTCTGTTTGGGGTAGGAAGCTTTCCCAAGGTTTCTTTCTAGGCATTTTGCTTTGAGGAACCTGCTTTCCTTCCTTTTTTCTACCTTCTACCATTTTCCCTGTTCCTCTTCTACTCCCTTTCCCACTTGTGACCTTCTTGGTCCCTGTCCTGGCATCTCCTCAGGCCTGTCCTTACCTTTTGTGCACCTGTTCTCTCTGAACTTGTTGAATGGCCTTCCTTTTCCATTCCTGCTTCCTTCCTTGGTCAGAGTTAAGGAAGAGCCCCATGCACAGTTCAGGCCTCCTGTGGGGGACAGAGAGAGCACTGGCTTTGAAACTGGAGAAACCTGGGTTTGAATCCCTGCTGGGCCACTTGTAGCTGAGTGACTGTGTTCAGTTCACCCCCTCTGAACACTGATTTCTTTATCTGTAAAATATAGATTTTAATACCTGCCTTAGGATTATTGTATGAGTTAAAGAAAATGTACATAAATCTACCAGTATGGCTGGAGCCTTGAAGACATTCAGCACATGGAACAAATGGTAGATTTGTAGAGATAGACTTGTGCTGGCCCATGTAAATGAGTGGAATCAGCAGTGGATAGATGCCTGGGGAGGCTCTCTTGAGGGGCATGCATGGGGAATACAGCCCCATCCACAACAAAGATGCCAGAGTGGAAAGTAGGCAGCCTGTGGCAGCAGAGCATGGAGGTGAGGAACCTGGTGGCTGGAGAAACCAAGAAGGGATCTTGAGGAGGACCTCATCAGTGGGTATTAGACACAAGGTCAGCTGCTAGCAGGGAGAAAAGGAAATGGAAGCTGTAACCAGTCTGGCAGGATCTTAGAGAACACTTGCTGAAGATAAGCCAATCACTGTGCCGAGTACTGTGCCAGGGATGGGCAATTGGAAGATGAGCTACATTCAGGCCTGGCCATGTTGGAGCAGAGGGCACCAGCAAACAAATAGCCATTGCACAGGTAAGTTCACAACGGTGTCTATTAGTGCTATGGGAGCATAGATGGAGAAATGTTTAGCCAGGGTTTGGGATGCAGGGAGATGGAAGAGTGTGAGCAAAGGCACAGCAGCCTCAAAATGCAGGCTGGATCCTGGGAATGTCTGCAGTTGGGTGTGGCTGGAGCACAGGCTCTACAGAGAGGAGTGCAGGAGGTCTGTGTTCATGCCATGTGGGTTACCAGGAGTCAGAGCACAACAGAGAGTCAGAAGTCCATGGAATAACCAGTGGACCACGAGGAAAACTGGATTCTGGCAAATGGTTCAGGTCTTGCCAGGAGCATCTGAGAATCCTAAAGTCTTTGATTCAGGTCCAATCCCTTACCCATGGCAGAACTCCCTTCCAGATGTGCATTTTTCCAGATTCTTCTGAGCATTTCCAGGGCTGAGGAAGCCACAGCTTTGTGAGGCAGCCTGTTCCACTGTTCTGTAGCCCCAGTTGTTAGAAAGTCCTCCTTCCAGCAGGCCAGAATCTACCCTCCTGTAGTTACACCCTGCAGTCCCATCTCTGTCTCCCAGGGTCATTGGGGAACTACTCTCTTCCTTCCCCTGCAGGGCAGCTCTCCCATAACTTGGGGACAGTGCTTGGGGACCTTCCTCATGTTTTCTTCACCAGATAAAGTTCTGTGAGTTCTTTCAGCCTATTTTCGTTTGACGTGGGCTCTAAACTCTTTAATGCAGCTTTCCTGGGACCAGTTTTTCAAGTGGATGAGGGGTAATGGGAGGAGTCTGCAGCTTTTGGTCCCACTTGCACAGGTGAGAATGAGATTTTGTATGTGTAGGTGCACTAGTTTTTGTAGCCCAAGTTAGTTGATCTGAAACCCCAAGAGTTTGCCCACCCAGAGAATGATGTTCTCTCACTTGAATAGAGAGAGACACCATCTCATATATAAATACAGGAGGATGTCTTCTCACATGTGAGCACAGAGAGATTTTTCCAGTATGAAAATGTTGAGTTAAAGTGTTCTGGTGCCAAGGTCAGTAGTAGTTACTGTTTCTCAGGGAAAAGCCCAACTCAAGGGTATCTACTGTTCAACCCCATTCCTGTATCCCATGGCTCTTCCTGAGGTCATTCCCAAGGAGAGCAAAAGCCTCATACTCTTATCTTGTAAAGAGTCGGAAACCTGTGGTAAAACAACATGGCACATGTATACCTATGTATCAAACCTGCACATTGTGCACATGTACCCTAGAACTTAAAGTATAATAAAAAAAAGAAAAAAAACACGCAAAGGAATATTAATCTCTTGGAGGAAATCTGCCTCTAGCTGGAATCCCAGAAGGGTTCTTCCCCCAGTCCCCCATCCCATGGCCCCTTTGAAATCCCACTCTTGGTTTGTTCACCTCTAGTCTCTCCTTAGTAAGCTTTCTCTAGCATAAGAATGTCCTGCTATAGGAACAACTGCTGATGTGGTGAGAAGATATACTCTGTAACATATGCGTTCTGGTGGAGAGATAAAAGAGGGTTTGGTTTCCTCCATCCTCTTTAGAGATTGGGTTGACCAGCTTGTCCCAGATTTCCCTGGGGAGGTGACCTTGTCATGAGGTGGCAAGAGGGGGTACAAACATGAGGGCCCTAGAATGGAGAGTGAGACTGGACTTGGGCATTCAGCTCCCATCCCTCAGGGCATTCTCTTCTGTGCTTTGCACATTCCCACCTTTTCATGCCTTTGTTCATGCCAACACTCCTCCCATTTGGAATGCCTGCTCCACTATATGTGCCTATTAAAACCCTCCCCCAGCTGAAGGTCCAGCTCAGATGCTACTCTCTCTGTTCTGCCCTGTTGGAGGTGCTCTTTCTCCCTCTGAGCATTTCCTGCAGCCCTTATCCATCCCCCTCAAATTGTCCCTGTTCCATGCCATCTAGCATTATAGCTAGGTGCTCAAAGATCTCATTCCCCCAATTATATTGAAAATTTCTGGAGGTTAGGACCAGTGTCTTCAATTACTCTGTGTTGACCAGAGATACTTAGTGCCAAATAAATAGTTGACCGTGACACAGTCTGTACTCACTGGGCTGCTTGAGAATAGAACAAAACCTGTGAACACTGAGCTGACACAAGAGCACCACCTACTGCTGAATGGTTTCTAGGAACGCTACCTTAATGCACTCACTGTTGAAAACTGGGGTGTTAGCAAGTTTCACCTTGCAATGGAAAGAGTGATTTGGAGGCAAGAAACTGGTTCTGGTCCTTTTATACTAATCCAAGTGGGAACAGATGAGGTGGTAGTGAAAGTAGAAAGGGAAGGGACAAACCCTCGAGACACTCAAGGGAAGAAAATGAGACCAGTGACTGGCTGGATGTCAGGGGGCAAAGGCAGCACCAAGGCCTTCGTGTTAGGAGGATTGGCAGTGGGACACGAGTGGGAACAATTCCCGAAGACATTTTGGAAGAAGGATGGATAATTAAATGAAATTTTAATTTTAATTTGTTTTAAGGCACAGAAAAGTGAAAGAAGTGATTATGAAGGTTACTAAAAACATTATCATGTGTTAGCTGGTTGTTGCATTTCTGCCCTACATTTTTCTTTTTTTTTTTTTTTTGAGATGGAGTTTTGCTCTTGTTATCCAGGCTGAGTGCAATGGCACAATCTTGGCTCACCACAACCTCTGCCTCCTGGGTTCAAGTGATTCTCCTGCCTCAGCCTCCTGAGTAACTGGGATTACAGGCATGTGCCACCACACCTGGCTAATTTTGTATTTTTAGTAGAGATGGGGTTTCTCCATGTTGGTCAGGCTGGTCTTGAACTACCAACCTCAGGTGATCCACCCACCTTGGCCTCCCAAAGTGCTGGGATTACAGGCATGAGCCACCACGCCTGGCCTCTAACCTACTTTTAGGGACAATGGATGCTATCTAAACACAGGCATTTACCTTGGTCCTCTGGCAGCCTTGAGGAGTGATGGGGCTCTTCATTCAGTAAGTTCTTCCTAAGCCCTGCAGAGTATATCCTGTAGGGTCTGGAAGCTGGAAACACTGCCAAGCTTCTCCTTGTGGATGTGCCCAGCCTGGCTCCCTGCATGGCCCCTTACCTGTCTGAGCCCCATTGCAGAGGCTGCTGCTGGAAGAGGGGAGAAGGGGCAAAATGGGGTGCCTAGTCCTCCTCCTAAGCTCAAGGTCAGGCCCACCTAGCACATACCAGCATAGCTAGGTGGTGGTCTTCTCCCCAAGAGAAGGGCTCCCACAGGGAAGCCTGCCTCCTCCCAGAGAGGGGCTCCCAAAGAAAGAGCTGCCTCATCCTTAGCCTCATGTGGAGCTTTGTTCCCAGATGTGCAAGTGATTGGCACAGCCGATTTTAGGATGTGTGGGAGGACTAGATGAGAACATCCAACAGACACTCCATTTTTGCAGTAACAATAATAGTTACCATTTATTGAGTGTATCCCTTATGCCAGGAACAACCATTAGCTCATCTAAATTAACTTGCCAAGGGCCAGATCTCAGTTTATGTCTAAATTTAGCTCCGGGATAAAGTTGGGCATTATTTTCTCAGCCTGGATTAAATAGGATTTGACCTCTTCAAGTCTACATTTTGGGAAGTGAGTGAAGTACATTCCCTCACTGTGTTCCTGAAAATATTTTATCAGCATTTGTGGTTCAAATGGAAGGAATTTGGCCACTCAGAGTCAATATCCCGGGGCTGTCTGGGCTGACTCCTGGCTTGGTTAGTTCTGTTTCTCATCTGCTTGACTTGCTGGCTCCTGGATGACCATTCCTTCCCCACAGGAGGGTAATGAGTGTGTTGCCAGTGCTGCAGGGAATAAAGTGCATCCAGGCTCATAGGCTGGAAATAAAATGCAAAAACACCTTATTTAAAGTCTGAAAATATTTATATTAATGACTTGGTGAGATTTTTTATTACATCACTTAACTTGAGGAGGGCAAGTGCGAGGAGAGTGGCCTTTTAAGGCTTAGCATTGAGTGTGTGCTTCTCCAGACAGCTGCTGAACTGCAGCTCATCTGTCAAGAACAGTGTGTGATTTTAGCATGAAGTTTCGCAGTCTTAGTTTCTCTAATCAGACAGCAACTACTTGTTGTGACTGCCAGTTTATCTTGTCTGAACCCAGAGGAAGTGGAAAGAGACTAGCATACATTCTGGATCTGCTATGTATCATATGCTATACTCAGAACTTTTCATATATTATCATATTATGATCTTTATCTTCTTTGACCCAGACATTTGAATAGTTTGTGTGAAAAAGATGGGAGAGGGAACAAAATGGAGGAGAAAGCGGAGGCAGAGACCATCAGTTGGTGAGAAGTCTGCAATGTGCTAGTTGGTTTTTGTTCTATGAGATCAAGGCTGGCTTGGTCTCCCCTTTGCAATGAGATAAATGCCTGTATATCTGGGAGGGTCTCAGTCTAGACACTCACTTCGTAGTTAAAAGCAAATCTGAGCTATCACTCCCCTCCAGTGGTTCCCCAATGCATCTTTTGCCCTTTGTGATCTGGTATCTCCCTATCTCCTACTATGGCTTCTTACAATCCCTCATTTTATGCTGCTGCTTTAAACCTCCAGGCCTTTGCTTAAGCTATTTCCTCTGATTAAAATGCCCTTGCAAACTACACCTTCTTTGCCTGATGAAATCCTGTTGTCTTTCAAGTGCTGTCCAGGTGTTGCCACCCAGAAGCCATCCATGCTTTTCCCTAACCCTATCTCTGCCAAGTTGGACCAAGTGCTCCTCTACTGTCAGCCCACAGTATACGTCTCTTATAGTATTTTTCACATTTTATTAACATTAACAGAATATGGAATGTGTTTGTCCCCCTCACTAGACCGTGGCCTTGATCTTTTATCACCCGTGTCTAACCCAATGTCTGGAATACGAGTGCTCAATAAGTGAATGAACAATCACACTAAACATCATGAGGGTGTGACTCTTGGTATCAGAATGCTTTGGGCTTCAAGAAACAGAAGACAGTAAAATTTGCTTAAATATCAAGGAAATGTATTATTTCACATTTTAAGTAGTCATTCAGAGACAATGATGTGAGCTTCAAGATTGATGAATCAGTGCGAGCCCATCTTCAGGCACTCAGGATTCTTTCTATCTCACTCCTCTGCTGAGATCTCACTGTTTGGCCGAGAACTTCCTTGCAAGGCTGTTTCCCTTCATGGTTCTAAGACAGCTGCCAGTTGTAACAGAGCAACATGCTTCACTCTTCCCCAAGTGATAGGGGTAGCAGGAGAAGGAGGGAGAAACACAGACATTGACTTCTGTTTCCCAGAAGCTCTAAGCAAATCTCTCCTCAATTTCGTTGGTTCATACTCATTAAGACTTGCCCAATCCTGAACATGTAAATAAAAAGGGGAGTGAAATTAGTATGACTGGTTTGAACAAATGATCTGGGGTGAACTGGATGTTAGGGAATCAATGTTCAATATACTACTCTAGAAGGAGTAGTATATCCTTCTTATCCTTAGAGTCTATCATGTCCCATTTTCTCTCTCCTTTCCTCTGGAACTCTAAGTATGCCTGTGTTAAAACTACACTACCCAACAGGACAGTCAGTAGCCACATCTGGCTAATTAAATTTAGTGGGTATAGTATACACTATTATGGTGTGATAGATACACTGAAAGCTCCAAGACTTCACCACTATGCAATCTATCCGTGTAACAAAATTGCATTTGTATCCTTTAAATTTATACAAATAAAAAAATTAATTAAAAATAAAATTTTTGGTTTGTTTGTTTTTGAGACAGAGTTTCACTCTTGTTGCCCAGGCTGGAGTGCAGTGGCATGATCCCAGCTCACTGCAACCTCTGCCTCCCGGGTTCAAGTGATTCTCCTGCCTCAACCTCCCAAGTAGCTGGGATTACAGGTGCACGCCACCATGCCTGGCTAATTTTTGTATTTTTAGTAGAGATGGGGTTTTGCCATGTCGGCCAGGCTGGTCTTGAACTCCTGACCT
This sequence comes from Homo sapiens, assembly GCF_000001405.40. Lineage (NCBI taxonomy): Eukaryota > Metazoa > Chordata > Mammalia > Primates > Hominidae > Homo > Homo sapiens. The sequence continues at coordinate 124,285,769 of NC_000003.12, forward strand.
CAGATGATCCACCTGCCTGGGCCTCCCAAAGTGCTGGGATTACAGGCGTGAGCCACTGCACCCTGCTTAAAAATAAAATTTTAAACTCAGTTTCTCAGTTTCACTTGCCACATTTCAAATATTCAAAAGGCACCTAGTGGCAAACCAACTGGACAGGACAGACATAGAACATGTCAGTCATCACAGAAGGTTGTATTGGACGGCACTGTACTAGATCTTTTAGTTATGTCCCACATCTCTTCTGCTGTGTCCTGTGCTTCTATTTGCTTTTCTCTCTGTGCTTCAGTGTGCTGTTTTCTTTCTTTCTTTCCTTCCTTTCTTTCTTTCTTTCTTTCTTTCTTTCTTTCTTTCTTTCTTTCTTTCTTTCTTTCCTTTCTTTCTTTCCTTTCTTTCGTCTTTCTTTCTTTCTCTTTCTTCCTTCCTTCCTTTCTCTTTTCTCTTTTTCTCTTTCTTTCTTTCTTTTCTTCTCTTCCTCTCTTTCTCTCTTGCTCTCTCTCTCTTTCTCCCTTCCTCTTCCCCTTCCCCTTCCTCTTCCCCTTTCCCTTTTTGTGCTGCAAACTCCGCCTTCTGGTTTCAAGCAATTCTCCCACCTCAGCCTCCCGAGTAGCTAGTAGCTGGAATTACAGGCGCCTGCCACCACGCCTGGCTATATTTTTGTCTTTTTAGTAGAGACAGGGTTTTGCTGTGTTGGCCAGGCTGGTCTGAAACTCCTGACCTTGTGATCTGTCTGCCTTGGTCTCCCAAAGTGCTGGGATTACAGGCATGAACCACTGCACCCTGCCCAGTGTGCTGTTTTCTATTGATTTGTTTTCAAGTTCATTCATCCTGCTTGCTGCTGCATCTATTCTGCCATTACACTCATCCAGTGAATTCTTAAGTTCAGTATTATACTCTGCAATTCTAGAATGTTCATACAATTCTTTTTATAGATTATGATTCTCCATTGGAACATTCCATTTTTTAATCCATTTTGTCCCTTCCCCCCATTTTTTTAAGATGTCAATCATAGTTATTTTGAAAGCCTTGTCTGCTAATTCATATCTGGATCATCTTCTATAGACAATTTTATTGTTTTGATTATCAGTAATTTTTCTCTGTCTCTTTATATATCTTATAATTTACATTGTATAGTGGATATTGTAGATGATACACTGTAGAGGCTCTTGATAGTTTATCTTTCCCTAAATATCTTAAAGTCTTATTCAAGAATACAATTAAATTACAAAAGATTATATTGATCTAATTGAGCCTTGGTTTAGACTTTGGTATGGTAGGTATATTTTTATCTTTTTATTAATCCTAGTGTATAGCCCTTATTCTAAACATGTGGCTCTTATTCCTATAGCTTGGTGTTTCTGGGGTCACAAATGAATGCCCAGAGAGCTCATGAAAGCCTCTCTACTCTGTTTGAATTAGAACTCCCAGCATTTCCCCAGCACTGTGTGACCTCTAAAATTTCTTTTTAGCTCTTAATATGCCCCACCTCTCATACCTGTTCTCTGCTAGACTTTCTGGAGTCTTGTCCTGCATATGCAAAGCTTGGGATTTGGCTAAGGACCTGAGGGAAATTTTAGTGAAGACTTTAAGGTAGCTCCTCTGCATCTCCCTCCACTGTAATATCCTGTCACCCAAATCTCAGCCTCCTTACCAGTCCCTGAACGCTGATACCCATTTTTTACATCCATCAAGACTATTCCTGCCCTCTGCTTGGCTTCTACTTCTCCGCTCCACAGTTAGGAAAATATCCTCAGGGAGAAAGCTGAGGTGAATATGGAACTTACACTGTATGCTTTCTCCCTTTCAAGGATCATTGGTCTATCTTGGTTATTGACCAATGCCTTTCAAATAGCTAATAGACAGTAGGGTTAAATATGATACCAGCTACTTAGTCAGGGACAGACCATAAGTCTCCACGTGAACATTTTAAATAAAAATGCAAGTATATTGAGGTTACCTGGAGAGCTTCTATGGAATCAGAAAATCAATGGTAGGGCCTAGGAAGATATATATATATATATATATATATATATATATATATATATATATATATATATATATGTATATAATTTTTATATATTTAATTTTTATGTATATTTAATATATATATTTAATTTTTGTTTTTTGAGACAGAGTTTCATTCTGTCACCCAGGCTAGAGTACAGTGGTGTGATCTCGGCACACTGCAACCTCCACCTCCTGGGTTCAAGTGATTCTCCTGCCTTAGCCTCCCCAGCAGGTGGGACTACAGGTGCCTGCCACCACGCCTGGCTAATTTTTTGTATTCTTATTAGAGATGGGGTTTCGCCTTGTTGGCCAGGCTGGTCTCGAGCTCCTGACCTCAGGTAATCCACCTGCCTTGGCCTCCCAAAGTGCTGGGATTACAGGTGTGAGCCATCATGCCCAGCCAGGAAGTTATATTTTTTAAGAAAACATTTCAGATAGTTCTAAATTAAGGCTATGTTTGTGAACTACTATGGTAAACACTAGAGAAATGAGTTTCCAAGAAAAAGAAGTCAGTATGGGCTTATTTGGTCAAGAAAGGCATCAGGAGGAGATGAGACTTCAATTTTGAAGGATGGGAATAATCTGGAGATTTGAGTGTGGGTATTTCATGGTGGGGGGAAATGTGGACACCAATATAGGGATGGAATGAGCATAATATAGTGTGTCTGCATGGCAGTGAATAAAACAATTTGGCTGCAAAAGATACTTGGAATAGGACTGTGATGTGAAATAATAATGTAGATTTGGACCAGTCTGGGGTTGAGAGAGGCCTCAAATACCTGGTTAGGAAGATTGGATTTTTCATTGTAGGTATCAGCAATAGTAGGGGTTGGTTTTTGTTTTCTTTTTATTATTTTGACTGAGATAATGACACGGGAAAGCAATGTATTAGTGCAGTGAACCTGATGGGGTCCGATGGCTTAGTATAAGGGACAGAATGGAGTAAGGGGGCCAAATAGGCAAGTATTTGTAATTTATTATCTAGGCAGGGTGGGCTGAGGGATGAGTAGCAGCAATAATGGAAGTAAAAGGCATATTCCAGAGTTATTTGAGAAAATAGAGAAAAAGTTAGCTCTGAGGGATGACGCGAAGATGTGGGAAGGCAGGAAAAATTAGTAGTTTTGAGATGCTTGTGGAACATTAAGAGGATATTAATATTGAGTCCATAGATACTGTCTTAGTTTGTTTTCTGTTGCTATAAAATAATGCCTGAGACTAGGTAATTTATAGAGAAAGATTTATTTAGCTCATGGTTCTGGAGGCTGGGAAGTCCAAGAGCTTATAGCATCCTGTGAGGATCTACTTGCTGCATCATAACATGGCAGAAGGCACCACATGTTGAGACAGGGCAAGTGTGCTAGCTCAGGTTCCTCTTCCTCTCCTTCTAAAGTCACTAATTCCATCATGGGGGGGGTCCCACTTTGATGACCTCATCTAATCCTAATTACCTCCCAAAGGCCTCCCCTCTAAATGCCATCAACATATGAACTTGGGGATTAAGTTTTCAACACATGAAATTTGGGGGCACATTCAAACCATAGCAGGCACTGTGTGACTATAGATAGTCCAGGATTTAAGTCTGTATTGGGGAGACCATTTAATGGTTTAAAAGCATGACTTTTGGAGTTATGTGGACCTAGATTTGAGTCTTTAATATGCCACCCAGAATGTGTGACCATGACCAAGTTACTTAATCTCTCTGAATCTGTTTCTCTACCTAAAAAAAAAATAAATAAAAAGGTGGTGATTATGGCATCTGTTACTTCATAAGGCTGTTATGAGGATTGAGATAATGTGTGTAAACCTCATTGTGTAGAGCCTGGCATGTATTTATTCTTGTCAATTATCTGGGAAGTTATTGTTAGAGAGCATTATGAAACAGGAACTTGCATGGGATTTAGGTTCAGATGGACACTAGAGTCCAATTTATCTTCATCACTTACAAGCTGTGGGATCTTAGCCAATTTATTTGGCTTCTTAATACTGAGTTTTCACCATGTTTAAAATGGAATTAACAATATCTTCTTTGTAGCATTATTATGAGGATTATGTGACATACACTATGAAGGCTCTTGGCACAGGCACATGAAATAAGACATAGTATTATTGTTGTTGAAGTTGTGGGCCCGGGTGGATATTCACATGGAGAGGGTTTGATGGATGAAGGGTAAAGGGCTGAGGTCCATGTTTAGATTGTCACAATAGGCTGTGAAGGACACAAAAGGAAGCCACAAATTGGCAGCCAGGGAAGTGGGAGGTAAGTTTAGATAAGTCATTGTAGGATTGGAGGATTGGTAAGCTTTCAAAATTAGAGTTTTCCTGTCATTTTTGTCATGCTGAGACTAGATATGATGTGTCAAGGAAGAAAATTCAAGTATGTGAAAACACTGATTCTCCAGAGAAAATGTTTACAAGTCTAGAGACTTGTGAAAGCAGGAAGAGACACTCATCATGTCTGAAGCCAGATGGGCTGCTGCTGAAAATTACCTGGTCTTGGGGGGCAGACAGGGTGGAATTTCAGAAAGGACTGCATCTGATTCTGACACGAGGTCAAAGTGAGTGAGAACTGACAGAATAAAGAATTCAGAAACTAGGAAGTGACTGGGTTTCATCGTGGGTGTCAACTCAAGAAAGTAGTAAAAGCAACCATATTTTAAGGGCTGAAGGAGGAATTGGATGGAGGAAAAACAAAGGCAGTAGGGGCAGAACACACTTCTGAAAGTCTGGTGATGAAGAGAAGGAGAGACAGAAGGAAGCTCCGGGCTCATTGGAGGGTTTAGCAGCAGAGTTAAGAGCATCAACTCTGGAACTAGACCTCCTGGGTTTGAAACCTTGACTCTGATGTTTATTAGCTGTGTGGCTTTAGACAAGTTAATTAATTTCTTGGTGCCTTAGTTTCCTAATTCATAAAAGGGAGATGATGATATTGAGGGTTAATATTGGGGAGATAATTATGAGGTTATTAGGAGGATTAAGTGAGTTAATATATATAAAGTGCTTAGTACAGTACCTGTCACATAGTGAGCATTTAACAAATCTTAGTTGTTGGAATCGTCATAACTGTCATCATCATTGATGTTATGGAGATAACATTAACATATCATGGAGATAAATTGTTATGGAGAGAAGGGAAGAGGAAGAAAAAGAAGACAAGAGGTTTATACTGTTGTAGGTATAGTTTGGCTCTAAAATATGAGCACAACACCTACCAGGGAGTCTTCTTAGGTCCCACTAAACACTCAGATTTATGAGACTACCATGGGCCATCTTGGGTACTGATCTACTGAGAATGATAGAAGATGGGAACCACAGCTTGCCAGCAGAGCAGTGCTTGCAGCAGTTCAGCTCAGCCATCGGCTTAGGTGCAAGGAGGTAAGATCTGCATTGGGCAGCTGTAGGAGCTGCCATGGCTTATAAACTCCATGCCCCATGGGAACCAGTATGTTTGGTAACAACTCCGTTGGCACAGCTTCCAGAGTTTCTGCAATGAACATTGCAGTTATAAAAATCACCACCTCAGGGATGTCCAAGCTATGGTGTACCCATCAGGTATTTGCAGTTCACTTACAGTTCCTCCCAATCAAGATGAAATTTGTGAAGCAGGGGATTTTTTTTTTACCATAAGAAACATGATTTAGCAACATGTTGGCACATACCATCTTTTATCTGTTTTCAGGGAAGCTGAACTTGGATGTTAACTGAAGGTCAAATTACCATGTAAGAGGGGAAAGGGTTTTGTTAACCCTTTGCTCGTAGTGGGATATTTGGCTGTTTCACAGAGAAATCCGACCTGTTCTAGATTGTGAGGAACATGTAAGGGTGTTAGACATGGGATTTGAGATTTAAGGAATTTGGGTATGGAAGGTGTAAGAAATGAGTTAGGGGATCCGTAGCATGTTTACAGATCAGAGACGTGGCCTGGTCAGTGAGATGTTTGGCATCCTGGCCAGTTACTGAGGATACAGTGAAAGTGTCTCCCAGGTAACCAGGCTGTGCTGTCCTTCCTTGAGCAGACTGGATTTATGACAAAAGACAAAAATGGCTTCTCTTTTACACAATATATAAAAGTATGCCAACTGACATGCCAAAAACACGAAGGAAACAAGCAGAGCTTCAAGAGATATTTATTACACCTACAGCCTCTCAGGCCCATATCCCAGCTGCCTCCCCCGTCTGTAGATGTCCGTGTAATGATCTCTTCAGAACCTAAATACTCTGTGGTCTGCAGGGTTTGCAGGATACGAAAGAGGTGAGATGTCACATTCTTTCAGTAAGGAATTCTTGGAACCTGGAGAAAACTCCACATTTTGGGGTCCTTTATGAGGTCTGTGTGTTGCCCTATTTGCACAAGAAAATGTGTCCTGGGTCAGTCCAAGTTCCATGAAAGCAAAATTGTAAAGTGGGGAGATTTTGCCTTTGATTCTCACGTCTATTTTAGGGCTTCCCTCCTACTCTCTAGGACCTCTCTGCCACTTTGTAGGATCTCATCCCTGGGCCATGTTCACAAAGGACCTTGCCCTCCTACTAAACTGTTTCTATATTCAGGATAAGCTAATTCCAGGAGGGATTGCATGAAAAATTGCATTTTAATAGGCATCTCACCTGAGTGAAAAACTGTTAAGAGCCAAAGGAACTGAGTCTCTAATAGTGAGAGTTGAGGTGTAGCAGAGAGGGTGGGGAAGGGAGAGTCTGGAAGCAAGCCAAGAGGAAGTAAGATTCCCTGGTCAGGCCACCCAGGGACAGCAGGAAGGCACCAGTGCCCTCAGGCAGAGCCCTGAGAGGGTGTCTGGGTCTCTGAGTGCGTGAAGGTGGAGGTGGTGGGAGGATGGACAGGCACCTTTGGGCTGTGTCTGTGCGGTGCCCTGCGGTCACTCTGGGGGTGCATGTCTAGGTGGGTGGGCGGTGGATGTGTTTGCATATGAGCTGCAGGTGTGATTCCCCATTTACTGCAATCTTAAATTCATACCTTTCATCTGTTTTTTACTATAATGAAAACATTTAGGAAATATGTGCAATAGAATATATGCTCATATGCAGATTTCAGAATCTATCATATATGTAGCACTTAACAAAGCATTTTCATAGCCATCATTTTATTTGAATCTCCCTGATACCCTAAGGTTTAAGTAGTTTAAATTATTACCCACATTTTATAGATAAGGAACTGAATTTCAGACCAATGATAAAACTTGTCAAAGTTTATACAGCAGAGTCTGTACTGATTTGAATTCTGTTCCTTGCGCTCTAACACTCATACAATTTTATTTTGGAATTGACTGGGCGGCTAGTTTCCCAGATATAACAAGGTTCACCCGCAAGGAGGTTGTTAGTTCTCTCTAGGGCACAAGCTTTTATGGATGCACCACTGTAGTGTACACAGGGTATAGTGAACATGATTGATATTGGGATGCACATATTTAGGCAAAGAAAAGCCATTGGTTGTCTTGTGTCCTCTTAATCAGCTCATCAAAGCTGAATATGAACATATTTAATACCAATGTAATCTATAATTAGAGTATAAAATACTAACAATAGATAATAAGGTGGTTTGAAAGTTAAAACTCTAAATCAGATGCTATTGCTAAATTTGGCAAATGAAGGAAAATAAACATAAGATTCTTAATATACTTGTCCTATGAAATAATTTATGCTTCTTAAAAAAAGAACAATAATAACATTTTAGCTATTCCTATTATTGAAAGGAGAAAAAGGTTTCTGTTTGTTTTCCTAATTTGCATTTAAGTAGATTCATTTAACATTTACTGTATTAAGAACTAGATTTGTATATTTTCACTGGATTTTAGCCAGCAGAAAAAAAAATTACTTAGCTTGGTTAAAAACAAAACCCCAAAAGAAAAGGAAAAAAAAACCCCAAATGACTTACATGTAACATCTATCTTCTTAATGAGACTAAACTATGTTAATTTCAAAGAGATACAATTTCATTATTTAGACACGAACTTTCCTCTTTGTAGAATTTTTTTTGTTATATTACACTTTGCTGAACTCACCATTTGTGGCTTCTCAAAAAACAAAGACAAGTTTGAAGGCACTTTGGAGATATTTTTAGTTTAAAATGTCCTAGCTGGAAGGGAGCTTAGAAAGAGTCCACTTATCTGGAGACTAGCAACCGAATAACCTATGACCAACTCATAGTATTCATTCATTCATTCATTCATTCAGTGAGTATTGAGAGAACTAGAGCTATTTGAATCAGCCATCCCCAGACACCTGGCACTCCATCTTGGTGGGGCAGGCAGTGGAGGAAGAGGAGAAGAAAGAGGAGGTAGAGAAGGAGGAGCAGGCTAGATATTGACAGGGAAGTGTTCCAACTGAGGAATAGCACCTTACCCCAGATAGAGTACCATCTGGGGTAAGAGATCATTCAGGTTCTGAAGAGATTATTACACGGACATCTACAGCTGCCCTTTCAGCTAACTTTTAGGGATAACTGCCCTGGGGAGCTCAAGCAGAGAAAGTCTTACAGCCATATGAGTGGGAGGCAGGGCGGTGTCCCCAAAGCATGGCTCAGTGGGCACTCAGTGAATGTAGCCTTGGGTAGAATGAATTAAATCTACACCCTGGACTTTACTTCCCTGAACCTGTTTTCCTGCCTGGGAAGTGGGCCTGATGATAGCACCTTGTGGGATTGTTTTATGGATGCAATGTAATGATGAAGGGTGAGTGGACATTTTGAACTCTAAAGCATCACACAATTGTCAGGGCTGAGACTAAGAAGATTCTCTTCTTTTTTTTTTTTTTTTTTTTTTGAGATGGAGTCTCGCACTGTTCCCTGGGCTAGAGTGCAGTGGCATGATCTCAGCTCACTGCAACCTCCGCCTCCCGGGTTCAAGTGATTCTCCTGCCTCAGCCTCCCAAGTAGCTGGGATTACAGGCACCCACCACCAAATCCAGAAGCTTCTCTGGCTATAAAACAATGCCATTTTTCTCACTGACATTATTTTATTCAAAAAGATAGAAATGTAAGTTGTAGCAATGAATATATCTTCTGATCCAGGAGAATCAACAAAACTATTTTTTATTTTGGGTGGAAAAAATGCATTCTATACATTTCCAAATTGTGCGTATTATAAACCAGGATGCTTGCCTCCATTCTGCAAACCACTATCTCTTCAAATGAGGAGAAGATCAGAAATGAAGTGACTTTTCCACAGTCTCATGTGGAGTTAGTGACAGAGCTGGGCCTGGAACCAGTGTAGTCTTCATCTCACTTGACTGTATGTATACATGCACACGCATGCATTCATGTATGCACACATTCTGCCTCTGCAGCCAGTTCCACTGAATGTAACAGAGATGACTATGAACCTTGCAGACAGCCAGCCTTGCAGGGGTGAGGATTATATGCTAGTAGGCAGCAAGTTTAGGTCTAGAGAAGATTTGTGATTGTCCCTTAGGAAACCTTGGTTCCTGACATCACATGAGACCATCTAATCCCCAGAGCAGGTCTTTTTCTCTCTACTGAGATGTGTATCACCTCTTTGGAGCGCCACCTCCAGTGAAAGCTAAACTTTTCCAGAATGTCCCAGACCCCAGTGACAAGCTTGTATGCTCCAAATGTAGGAGGCAAAATCAGTTGGGATGGCATGGGCGCAGACCTCATTTTGTAAGAAGCTGATTCAGCAAGGTGCACAGTTCCTTCAGCACTCTCAACTCTCACCTGTCTTTAACTCATTTTTATATTGCTTTCCACCCTAATTGGCCTGTGTTCAGCTTTCCCTACTCTGTGGTTGAGGGATCTGGTGCTGAGCAATCTAATCATTCTGGTGCCAGCACATAACTCATCTGCTTATTTGCATATCTAAGTGACCATTTAACATAACATACAGGGAAGGTCACTAATCGGCCACTGAAACATCCAAGAAAGTGTATGGAGTGAGCGCTTTTCATCACAAGTTCTAAGGACTTCAGGCATTTCAGACTTTCATTAACTTTATTGATTCTTTTGTCAATAAAGAAAAGAAATGAGAAATTATTTTAAAATAGGGCTGGGAGGCAGAATTCTAAAGATAAAAATTATAGAATCAGAGTCCTCTAAATTCCTGTCTTCTTTTCCTTCTTGTCCTTAATAATAATTAAAGAAGAAAAAATAAAAGCCCTGAACAAATGCCTGTGATGTGAGGGTAGCTGAGGCTGGAGGACCCAGGATAGTGCACACAGCACAAATATCGACCCAACCTCTACAGGAGCCCCAGCCTGAAATAAATTCTCTGACACTCAGAAGTAAAGAATGGTCCTTTCGTCCTTTCTTTACTGTTGGTGTAAGTAGATGGAAGTGTAATTCAAAAGGGAGAATAATCTCCAAATCATGCACGTTTGCCTTTGGAAGGTGATGTTTTTATACTTAAGTGTGAGTTGTTACAGCCCTGATGTCTCTCTCCTGACCTTTAGACACAAATCTAACTGCCTACTGGATACCTCCCCTTGAAACTCTCACAGGCCTCCCAAACTCAGCACATCTAAAACGGAACATACAATTTCCCACCCAAGCTTCTTACCTTCTTCTTTAGGCAGCATCTGTGGTGGTACTTTTTATTACCAGGACTCAGGTGCCATGCCAGAAGCCTGGCTGTTCTCTCTAGCTCTTCCCCACCTTCTCCTCTCTAAACAACTAAGTCCCCAATCCTGCTCCCAGTAGCTCTCAAATCTGCCAATTTCTCAGACTCTACTGCCACTCCCGTAATCCAGGACTCCGGGTCCTCGCCCTCGTCAGGATTTCAGTAGCAGCCTTCTAGCCATTTTCTCTTCCCTTCCAGTCCACATCCCTCACTGTCATCAAAGCTCACTTCACACTTCACTACCCAGCTTAAAACCTCCCACCAGCACCTGGCAGCCGACAATGTGTGGTCCAGGTTCCCTGAAGCCTGTGTGCAAGGCTCTTTGTGGTCAGTCTGTCCCACCTGCCTCCCCAGCCACACTTCCTCCTTGATGTCAGGCTCCAGAAACACAGCTGAGGACCCTTCATTGCCCTCGACACAGTGGGCTATCCCAGTTCTGTCGCTTTGCCTGAGCATGCATCCCACTGGCCTTCATCTGGCTGATTCCTATCTGAATCAAGGTTTGACTCAGGTGTCACCTCCTCTGAGAAGCCTTCTCTGCTCTTCCCCATCTCACTCCTCAAGGATAGGTGAGGTGGCCTCTTCTGTGCTCCCTCAACAGCCAATATTCACCTCTATCTTATCAGTAGATGTTTTTTTGAGTTGTAATTTTAATCACATTGTGTGCCAGATTATAATAAAGTTGTATCTGAGTCCATGTCAACTTTCCACATTAGCCTTTAAGCCACTAATACTCAAGAACCATATTTTAGTCATTTTTGCCTCATGCCACCTCCAGCGGTCCCTGGCACATAGCAGGTATCCCATAAATACTGGTTGAATGTAATTGAAGTAGTAACTCACTCTTCTGTTCAAGGGACATAATTGGATAAGGCTGCAGTTCTGGCTCCAGAGAGCTGGTGCAATCATGGCCACTTCTTAGCCTGTTTCTGTTCTCAGCTGTTTCCTGCTTCACTCTGCAACTGGGCTGTGGCCTTTAGTCCATCCCAAATGGATTGTGAGGCTTAAGTAGTGCAGTTCTCTTCTCCAAGTATACTCTTTCACACCTTTCTTGGCTTTTGCTGACTTAGCCATTGTTTTTTGGTCCCTAGCATGTGTGAGTCACTGAGCTGAGATGATGAGGAGCCTCGAGCTGTGGCACACTGGAAATGGTTGAGTTTCCAGGTCCTCACCCACATCAGGATTTCTGTAGCAGCCTCCTAACCATTTTTCTCTTCCCTTCCAGTCCGCATCCCCTTGGGGAAGAGAAACTGTAAGGGACATGTGATGGCTATCTTCAAATATTTAAAGGGCTGCCTTAAGGAGAAAATAGTAGAATTTCCTGCTCTGGACAGAATATTACAGAAAGTCCAACTTAAACTGGCTTTAATAATAAAGAGGATTTCTTGGCTCAGGTCCAAGGAAGTCCAGAGACAAAGTGGAAACCAGACAATGCTCAGCCAGGGCTCTGCCTGCTTCCTGCAGTTGTCTTGGCTCCACCCTTTCTCTACCCATTGGCTTCACCCTCAGGCTGCCAGAAGAATGGCTGCAGCAATTTGAGGTCAGAGCCACATACAACAATACTGGAAGAAGAGAAGCCATAACTAAATAACTAGGATTCTGTTTTCCTAGAAGTTTCTAGCAAACTTCCCTCATGTTTTATTGTACTAAATTGGATCACATTCTTATATCTGAGACAATCCCATTGGTTGGGAAATGTCATGCACTGTTTGGCTTAGGTCTGGTGTCCCAAAAAGCCAGGGGTTCTGGTCAGCTCCCATTGAAGTATGTGGGCTGCCTGGAAGAGGGCTGGATACCTAAGTGAAAACCAGGGTATGGAGCTAGGAGGAGGAAGATGGCTTAATGCCCACTGTGCTAGCACCAGGTGGTACTTATACTACGCTTAAAACCCTCATCTTCTGCTTCCCAGTGGGTTATAGCAGAAACCCAGGAATTGTGAGGCTGTAGAGTTATGAGAAAAGCTGATTCACTTCAGAATCAATTCAACATTGTGTGTGGCTGGGCAGTGTATAAGGGGGGCAGAGGCGAGTAAGGATGTCCCTGTTGCTTCCTTCAAAGATTTCTCTCTTCTACTAGTGCGGCAGGAGATGCATTAAGCCTCCCAGCTTGTCTCCTCAGCACCTGTCCCTAAAGCAAGCATGCTGGTAATGGTAAACAGCTTCCTCTCCCATCTCCCAATTATCTCACTCATTTTCTCTTTTTCCCTTAGGCTCTGTAATGCAACACAGCGGCTGCTGGTGGGGTCTTACGCTAAAAGTGAGGGCTCTCCTGAGAAATCAGGCTGTGGCCCACCCCATTAAGACCCCGAGACTCAGAACAATAACTGGTTCTCACTGAGCACCAGCAGGAGAGCTTTTTCCCCTTCCACTAGCTCTGAAAGTTTTGCCCTATTCGACCCATGACCATTCTGATTATGCTGTGCCTTCTTGTCCTCTCTAGATGTTTGACTGGATAAGCCACAACAAGGAGTTATTCCTCCAGAGCCACACGGAGATCGGAGTCAGCTACCAGTACGCCCTTGACCTCCAGACGCAGCACAATCACTTTGCCATGAACTCCATGGTGAGCTGAGGGGCTGTTCTCAGCACTGCCTCTGGGAGTGGGAGAGTGGGGAGAAGTGGGAGGAGGGACAGAAACAGACTTTCCACCCGAGGAAGAACTGTGAACATGCTGACCCTTTGGTGTTCCATTTGTTGGAATGGGGATGAGTGCAGGGCATGTGGCCAGCCAGCTGTTCCTGCAGCAGATTATGCCTCCAGATCCTGCTTTACACAGTGAAAGAATGTGTCCCGGGTTGCAGGAGGCATTGGCTCAGCTCAAGTCTAGAAGGGCGAGTTCCACCAGTTCCACTTCACTGACTTAGCCAACGTTTTTTGGTCCCCAGCATGTGTGAGTCACTGATCGGGGATGGTGAGGGGCCTCAAGCTGTGGCACATTGGAAATGGTTGAGTGACCCGGGGCTGTTTAGACTGGGGAAGAGAAACCCTAAGGGACATGTGATTTCTGCCTTCGAATATTTAAAGGGCTGCCTTAAAGAGAAAAGGGTAGAATTGCTTTATGTTTGTTTAGAAGGCAGAAATGTTCAGGGGATGGCAGTTTGAAGGGGCGGCAGGATGTGGCTTGGAGCAGGAGGTGGGGTGGGATGCAGTGGGAGACAGTGAGCTCTCCATGATGAGCAGTGTTCAGGCAGATGCTGAACACTCAGAGAGGGATGTTTGCTAACTGTTTGGCCAGATAGAACTTACTTTACCTCTCTATGCTTCAGTTTCCTTATGTATAAAATGGAAATAATAATAGCTACCATATAAGGTTGTTGTAAGGATTTAATGTGTTAACTGTAAAACAATGAGAACGGTGCCTGGCACATAGTAAGTCATCAGTAAATGCTGGTGTTATGATAATGATAAGGATGGAGGAGTTCACTCCAGATGACCACTCTTATCCCTCATAAACCTAACACTTCGGGATATATTTTTGTTTTCCTGCGTGGCTACCCCAAGATTTTATTTCAAAATTGTGTCTGCTCTTTGAAGCCATTGTATTTCAAACTCCTGCAGCCTCAGAATGCCTATCTCCTCCACCAGCTCTTTCTACTTGAATTATTGGTCCAGAAGAATAGCTCCACCATTCCTCATATATCTGAAAAACAAAGACAGCTTATCATTGTAGCTGGTGATGTTGGGAGTGGGGCAAGTGTTAGAAAAACAGAAACAAGGTGAATCACAGAGGCCAAGAAGGAAGAGAATTTCATTGTCTACCAGGCTCTTTTAAATATGCTATGCACTAGAGTTAACACACTGGAGAAGAAATATTTTAGGTTGGTGCAAAAGTAATTGTGCTTTTGCCATTACTTTTAATTAAATAATTCTGGCCTCAAGTTGTTCACTGTCTAGCTAGAGAAAGAAAAGTAGATAATCATGGTGCAGCTTGATATGTGCAGTGATAGAGATATGCCGAGTTAACCAAGAACCTTAAAATGTCAGTGGTTGAAAACAACAGAGGTTTGTTTATTGTTCCTACCACACACCCATCCCTAGCTTGTAGGAGCTCTGCTTATCATAGCCACCCAGAGAGACCTGGGCTGATGGTATAGTCACCAGCTCAGATCTGCCAGCTCAGATGCTGCCAGTCTTGCCAGGCAAAGCATGTACCCAAGGACACATGCTGGACACATGCTGGCTCTGAAACTTTCCAACTAGAAGTGATACATTTGCTCACATTCCGTTGGCCAACGCCAGTCACAGAACCACGTCCAATTTGAAGTGGCTGGGGACATTGTGCAGTCCTATCACGTGCTGGGAAAGAGAGAGCAGGATGGTTGTGAACAGCTCTAATGACTAGCACACTGAAAGATGTTAGGTAGAGGTGAACATCATGAGACTTGCATAGAAAGATCACTCTGGCTGCAGAGATGAAGGTTATGAGACCAGGCAGGGAAATCATCAACACTGATTGTGTTATCAGTCTTGGCCACAACACAGTCTTGTGTCTTCATCTCAGTGTAAAGACTCATTTTCTTCCCACTGGTCTCCTGTAGATATTTCTCATTTCTGTCTCCCTTTAGTGTAGAGCAGCAAAGCAATTGGTAACAGGTGATTAAGAACGTGAACTCAAATCTAGTCAAGTCTGATTATTTGTGTGCCTTGTGGATTTTCCCTGGTGAGTTTTACAAATTCTGTGCCAGAATTTTCACATTACCCAACAGCCTGGCCCTAAGGCAGACAAACTCATTTTAATAAGCAACAAAGACAACCATAATTAGGGAGGTAAATCCACCACCAAGCCCCTAGAAACAGTGAACTGCAAAGTTAAATCAAAAGAGCCTTTGGTTTTGAATTATCTGTAATTATCTTTGAATTAACTGCTCTTCTCTGCTAGTGTGGATAACTGAGAGTTAACAGCACATCAAAAACCTTTCTTCAGACAGATTTACTGTTGAAGTCTCCATTTTTTAGGACAAAAATAAGGGAGGAAATTTACTGAAGGGAAGTATCTTCTGGAACTGGAGAGAGAAGAGAAGAGATTTAGTATGCAACAGCCAATTAGTGTGTCCCAGCCAATCTTGTAGCCTCCCTCACTGTGAATGCACACAGCACTCAGAGGCTTCCTTGGCCTGATTAGGCTGGATCTCCTCTCTGGCTTCAGGGTAAGGGAAGGGAAATCCCAGGGTTTTTGGATCAAATTGCTTGCCCGCCTGTGCTTGATAAACATACCTGGTGCCTTTGTTAAATGGGAGGTTTAAGGTTTGTTATTAAAAGAAACTTCCTGCAAAGAGGGAGGTCAGCATCCCAAGCAGGTGAAAAGAGGGAATTACAGATTCCTTTTCTCTGGCCTGGGTGATGGATGTTGCTGCCAAGAAACACATGTATGCAAGTGGCTACTGCTCGAACTCAGTGACTACAGGAATGATCAGTTACTCAGGGGAAGTGGGAATGTGGATTGTTGTGTAGATTCACTGCAGCGTTTCCGTTCTTGGAAATTATACACACACATATACATATACCCACACATCCATTCATGTAAATGTACATATAGCATACTTTGTTTTAGGCTGCAGGTAAGTCTTTTGGTATTGAATCTTATTTTACCACACGGAAATAGGCCAATGGTTCCTTATGTTTCAGGTAGTTCACAGATCCCTTTGAAATCAAATGAAGGTTGTGAATCCTCTCTTCAGAGAAATGTATGCATAAACACATTTTTAAAGACAGTTTCCGGAGATTCAGGGGAATCCTAAAACCTGTCAATCAACCTCCCCAACTTAAGGTTCTAAGAACCTTATCTCTTCTTTATTCACTCATTTAACATATAATTAAAGATCAGACATTGTATTGGATACTGAGCATATAGTGGTGAACAAGACAGAGATGATTATGTCTCATGGAGAGTCCAGCGGAGAGATAGATGTTAAGTATATAATCTCACAAATAAATATATAATTACAAACCAATAAGTCTTATGTTGGAAGAGTAAGGGATGTTAGGACAGAGTTTAAGAAAAGGACCCAATTTAGATGAGGGGGTGGTCAGGTCAGGTACATTTTTCAATCAACCATCTGCATTGACTTAATGTTGATTGTTCATTCATTGATAGAAATTAATGGCCTGTGAATTGAAGTAACTCTATAATGTACCAAAGAACTTATAATTTAAAGAAGTCCTAGGTGTATCATTTTGTCAATGAAAATAATCAACTAATAACTTACCTGTTCTGTTTTATTTTCACATGTCAAGTGTTTATACATTGGTTGAAGACCCAATTCCAGCAAAGGTGACCATTACTGAGAGTATTAATTTGCTAGGGCTGCCATAACAATGTCATGGACTGGGTGGCTTGAACAACAGAAATTTGTTTACTCACAGTTCTGGAATCTAAAAGTTCAAGATCAAGGTGATGGCAGGTTTAGTTTCTCTTGAGGCCTCTCTTCTTGGCTGGCAGATGGCTACCTTCTCACTGTGCTGCCACGTGGCCTTTTCTCTGTGAGCACACACCCTGGTATCTCTCTGTATGTCTTAACCTCCTCTTTTTATGTAAAGATACCACTCAGACTGGATTAGATCCCACCCTAATGGCCTCATTTTAACTTAATTACCTATTTAAACACCCTATCTTCACATGCAGTCAGTTTTTAATGGTACTTGGGGGTTAGAACTTCAACATATAAATTTTGGGGCTCTGCTATTCAGTCTGTAATAAAAAGAAATAATTGCATATCATTAAATCACAGAAGAAAAATCAGAAATTTTCTAAATTTTATCTATGAATTGGTACCAGGAGAGGCCATCAATTATTAACATACCAAGAGTGTGGGAGTGATATCCTACTAAATATGGTACATAAATAAAATGAAAAAAAGTTAAAATTGGTTGATCTTTAGATTTTTTATCATAACATGTGTTTTTGAATTTCCCACTGGGAAACCCAGTTCTTTTGATCTTCAATTAATAGTAATAATAACAACAACCCACCTACTAAACCCAGTAGGAAAATTTTCTGTTGCTTCTTACAGTGCCTCAGACAACCAGCTTTCCTGAGCTCTCTGGGGCCTTCCTCTTGTTTAATTCTGCCTTCTGTTGTGGAAGCCTTTTGCATAAATTTTCCTTCCCCTGATTGTGGCCTTCTACTCTGATGGGAGTATGGGCAGATGGAAGTGAAGTTGGGTGGTAATATGCACAGAACAGTCATCTAACCATCTATGTTCTGGTTCTTCATGCGACTCGCAGGAGTACATGCAAACGTAACACAATCTTATTTACAATTTTAATTAGCTGGTTCTTTGGGAAAAATAAATTGCTAATGGCTTCTGTCTAGAGTTTTAAAATATGAAATGATATTCATTTTCTATTATGACTGTGAGGATTCACAGTAGTGATAACAATGTGCAGCTGGGCGGGAGGAATCCTTTCTGCTGCAGCATGCTTGATAGCTGTTTTAATCCCACTAATTTGCTCGCCAAAGGCACATATTGCCACTTGATGGTGTGCAAATCAGACCAGTTGCAGAAAAAAAACTACAGTGTGTTCTCTCTTTGTTTTGAGGGAAGGTTACAAATGACAGCACCAAGGAAAAATCAGATCTGGTATGAGAAAAATCAAGATTCTGAGGCAGGCAGGTGGTCTCCCAACTCTAATCTCCCAACCCTAATCTGAGAAACCTTGCCCCAAGCCCTCTGTCATCTTTGATTCTTGGCAGCCCTAAACCATGATTCTGTGGCACTTCCCATCTCCAAACAGGCAGCATTTTTTAGAATGTCAGAATTTCTAGATTTTGTTGTAAACACACACACACACACACACACACACACACACACTATTGTAATGTTTAAGTAGCCAGTGTTTGACACTGCCATAGCTGCAAAGTCCCTTAGTAGACATAGAACTTGTTTTAAAAAAATGAAGAAGAAGAGTTCAATCTTATCCAGTAAGCATTAGTCTTTTTAGTATAATTTTTTGTCAAAGAATCACATAGGGAGCTTGCTAAACATGCAGATTTCTTTTTGATTACCACCCTAGTTCTGGAAAATCATAATCTCTGGGAGTAGGACCCCAGGATTGTAAACAAGTTCCCCAAGTGATCTATATGCACGTTAAATCAGAAAACTATTTCTCTATGAAGATCTATATGTATTAAATTATCACTTTCTAAAAGAAAACATTATACATTCTGAAGGACAGTTCACTTCCAGCATGACAGTGTGAAGAACTCTGCAAACCTGTTATCCATTGAAACTAGTGAAAAATTTTAAAACAAGCATTTAAAGTATCGGAAATGGTCCAAAATGCATACAGCAAATGAAAAACATTTATTCAAGAACATACACTAAAATTCAATAAGAACAGTGAGCCTGTGGTATTTGAACCAAGACCCACTCTCTTCTTTTCCCCTCCCAACTCAGTAAGTTTGAAACTCCACTCCAGAAAGCTTCAACCAAGAACACAGGGTTCCTTTACCCTCCACCCTAGTTCCCAGTTGAAGGAGTATCTTCCCAGGTGGGACATTTCTTATCCTGCCCCAAACTACGTGTTGCTGAAGCCAAGTTCTGGGTGAATGTCCCCCGGAGATGGAGACTCCCTTCTACCCAGCCCTCATTCTTAGAACAGTGGCTGTGCAATGTGTGCCAGGGCCCCAATCACCCTTAGGCAGAATTTCCATGTTGGGAGAGATAAGCCAAGAAGACCTGAGGCTATTCATCTCACTCCACTGAGCATTCAGCTCCTAAAGTGGGGGTGTCATTCAGGAAAGCACACCATTGTCCCCAACCCCAGCTCCAGAGCTGCAGCTCAGAGATTTTGCTTGGGGTAGAAACAAACTGTAAAAAAAGAACTCTAAATCTTTCCCCAAAGGAACTGATTTCATGTGCAACAGAGGATGGAAAAGTTTAAGCCACTTACAAAAATGCTCTTAGGGAGGTTCTGGTGAAAGCAAATTAGAAGATTGGTAGATCCATTGGCGACATAGGCAGCATTTCAGGCAGGTTAGTTTGCCAGAGACAATCAGGGAAAGAGATCTCCTGGGGCCAGAACAAATTTCAAGCATTGACTTCAGGAACTATCTCTTCAAAGAGACCCAAATTTAATTGCATATGTCTGTGGAACCACTTATGCCCCAGTACATTGTTGAAAACAATAGAGCAATCAGCTTGCAATTAATGGAATTAAATTCCATTGACAGCACCAAGGAAAAATCAAACCTGGTACAAGATCTGGTACCAGCTGGGTGTGGTCAGGGAAAGAAAATCAGAGCACTGCCAAAGCCACTGCCATTGCAGGGTGCCTGTGAGCCTATCCAATGCTGTACTCCCCCTGGGAGCAACATTGGAGTCTTCTTACTGTGGAGCTGTGGGGGAGTGGGAATATTTCAATAATCCAGTCACTAAACAAATAAGCAAATAACAACAACAAGCTCTAAAAGAAGTGGGAGACCAGTACCCAGAGTTGCTGCTATATGACCTAAAATGTCCAATTTTCAACAAAAAAATTATGACACATGCAAAGAAACAGGAAAGTATGACCAGGAAAAAAAAGGAGTAAAAATATGTACTAGAAAAAAAATAAAAAACAGTCAATAGAAATCACCTGTGAGAGCAACCAGATGTCAGATTTTACAAAGACCTTAAAATTGCTATTATAGATATGTTCAAAAAACAAACCATAGTTGAAGAATTAAATGAAAGCATAATTACAATGTCCCCATCAAACACAGAATATCAGTAAAGACATTATTATTATTATTATTTATTTTGAAATAGGGTCTTGCTCTATCACCCAGGCTGAAGTGCAGTGGGACAATCATGGCTCACTGCAGCCTTAACCTCCTAGGCTCAAGCGGTCCTCCCACCTCAGCCACCTGAGTAGCTGGAACTACAGGTGCATGCCACCATGCCTAGCTAATTTTTCATTTTTTGTAAATATGGGATTTTGCCATGTTGCTCAGGCTGAGAGGCTTATTTTTTTAAAGGAAATATGGAGCTGAAAAATACAATAACTGAGACAAAAATTTTTTAGAGAGGCTCAATGTAGATTTGAACTGACAAGAAAAAACAGAATTAACAATCTTGAAGATAAACTAATAGAAATTATGCAATATGAAGAACAGAGAGAAAAAAGAATGAGGACAAATGTACAGAGCTTCAGGAAAACATGAGACACCATTAAGTGCACCAACTGCTATGCATAATGGCAGTACCAAAAGGAGAGGAGAGAGAGGAAGAAACAGAAAAAAATTATTAAATTATTAGATGAAATAGTGGCTGAAATCTTTCAAAGTTTATTTTAAAATATTTATGGCCAGGATGCTTAAGAAACTCCAAGTAGGATAAATTCAAGAAGATCCATAAGCAGACACATTATGGCAAAATACTGAAAGCCAAAGACAAGGAAAACCTTAAAAATAGCAAGAGGAAAATGACTTCTCTGTTACAAGGGAACCTCAATAAGATTAAAAGCTGATTTCTCATCAGAAACAATGGAGGTCCAAAGGAAGTAGGACAACATATTAAAAAGTGCTCAAAGGAAACAACTGTTAACCAAGAATACTATATCCAACAAAACTATCATTCAAAAATCAAGGTGAAATAAAACTATTCTGAGATAAACAAAAACTGAGAAAATTTGTTTCTAGCAGATACACCTTATAAGAAATAATAAAGGAAGTTTTTCAAGCTAAAAGCAAGTGACCCTTGATGGTAATTTGAATCTACACCAAAAGACAAAGAGCACTGATAAAGGTAATTATGTGACTATAAAAGACAGTATAAACACACATTTCTTCTCCTTTTTTCTCTTAATTGATTTCAAAAGCAATCATATAAGATAATATGTACATAATGTATTGTTGGGCCTATAACATAAAAATGTAATATGTTTTCCAGTGATAGCACAAAGGAGGTTGGTAGGAGCAAATTTGTAGTAGGCTAAGGAAATTAGTCCAGATGATAACTTGAATCCACAGAAACAAATACAGTGATTCAGAAATGATAAATAAGACTAATATGAAAAAAGCTATAAATATATAGTAATCCTCCTTTTTTGTCTCAGCTTCTATAAAAGACATAAAATTACAGAAAGTGATACTTATAACAATCTAATGTTTGGTTTGTAACATTTATAAATGTAATATGTATAAAATATGACAAAATGTGAGGAAAGGGAATAAAGCTCTATAGGAGTAATATTTTTATGTCTCACTGGAATTAAGTTAATGTACAGTAGAAGCTGATTCTGATAAGGTGTATATGGTAAGCCCTAGAGCAATAGCTAGGAAAATAACTCCCAAAATATAGTGAAAAAAATCAATCAGTAAAGATACCAAGATGCTACACTACAAAATACTCACTTATGCAAAAAAAGCAGTACAGGGTTATAGAAGTATAAAAAAGACATATAGAAAAAAGTCAAATGGCAGACATAAACTCTATTAATAATGACATTAAATGTGAAAGGATTCAATAATCCAATCAAAGGTAGAAATTGTCAGACTGGATTTAAAAACCAAGATCCAGTTAGTAACACTGTCAAAAAACATTTTTAAAAAATATAAGACCCAATCTAATTGCTGTATACAGGAGGCACATTTTGGATTCAAAGATATAAATAGATGGAAAGTAAAAGGATAGAAAAACATGTATTATGCAAACAGCAATCAGAAGAATAGCCAAGTGACTATATTAATAACAGATTCTTAAGTGCATTTTAAAAGAACAGCAAAAAGTTACTAAAGATAAAAAGCAACTTTTTAAAGAAGAAGAATGTCACTCTATCAGGAAGATGTAACAACTATAAGCACATATACACCTAACAAAAAAGTACCAAAATACACAAAGCAAAAACTGACAGAAATGAAGCAAGAAATATACAATTCAAGTGTATTAATTGGAGACTTCAATACCCCCTTTTAATAATGGATGGAACAAATTAGCAGAAGGAAATAGAATACCTAAACAAAGAAATAGAAGACTATAAGCCAAATTGAACCAACAGACATCTATAGAACACTCCATCCAACAATAGCAGACTATATAATCTTCTCCAGGACATGAAACATTGTCCATAATAGACCATATCCTAGGTCAAAAAACAAACCTCATGAAATAAAAAAGGATAGAAATAATGCCAGATATTTACCCCATCACAATGGAATGAAATTAGAAATCGGTAACAGAAAGAATTTCAGAAATTCACGAATAGGTGGAAATTAAATAACATCTTCCTGAATATCCAATAGCTAAGAGACAAAATAAAAAGGAGAATTGGAAACTAATTTTAGATGAATGAAATTTTTGACACATCATACCACAACTTACGTGATACAGCTAAAATTGTGCTTAGAGAGAACATATAGTTGTAATGCCTATCTTAAAAAAGCTAAAAAAAAGTTCTCAATAACCTAAACTTCCACTTTAAAACACTGGAAAAAGAAGAGCAAACGAAACCTAAAGCAAGCAGAAGAAAGGAAATAATAAAGATTAGAGTAGAAATTAACTAGAGAATAGGAAAACAATAGAGAAATTTAATGAAACCAAAAGCTGGTTTATTGAAAAGGTCAACCAAACTTACAAACCTTTACCTAGAACAACCAATGAAAAAAATTACTAGACTCAGAAGTGAAAGAGGGGATATTATTACTTACCTTACGAGAAAATAGTATTATAAAGAGATGCTATAAATAATTGCAAGCCAATAAATTAGATAATAAATGAAATGGACAAATTCATAGAAAGGTAGTAACAACTGATACTGATTCAAGAAGAAATAGATAATCTGAATAGACCAATAGCAAGTGAAGAGATTGAATTAGTAATCAAAGAAATATTCTCAAAGAAAAGCCCAGGCCCAGATGGCTTCATCACTGAATTCTACCAAACATTTAAAGAATTAATACTCATTTTTTGTAAGCTTATATTAAAAAAAAAAAGATGAGGGAACATGTCCCAGCTTACAAGGCCAGTATTACCCTGATACCAAATCCAGATAAATCTGTCACACAAGAAAACTACAGACCAATATCTCTTATAAATATGGATGCAAAGATTTCCAACAAAATACTATCAAACCAAATCCAATTAGCCAGACATGGTGGTGCTCACGAATAGTCCCAGCTACTTGTGAGGCTGAGGCAGGAGAGTTATTTGACTCCAGGAGTTTTATGGCTTTAATGAGTTATAATCGTGTCATTGCACTCCAGCCTGGGGACAGAGCAAGACCCCATCTTTAAAACAAACAAAAAGAAACAAAATCCAGCAACATATAGAAAGAATTACACACCACGACCAAGTGGGAGTCATCCCAGAATTGTGAGCTTGGTTTAACTTCAGTAGGAAAAAAAAAACAAAAATCATGTGATCATCTCAATAGACCCAGAAAAAGCATTTGACAAAATCCAACACCTATTCATAATAAAAATACTCAACAAACTAGGAATAGAAGATAACTTCCTCAACCAGAAAAAGGGCATCTACAAAAATTCACAGCTATTGTTATACTTAATAGTATACTGGATACTTCCCCGCTTAAGATCAAGAACAAGACAACGACACTCTTGCCCCTTCCATTCAATATTGGAGGGTCTATTCAGGGCAATTATTCGGGAAAAAGAAATAAGAGTCATCCAAATTGGAAAGAAGTAAAACTATATTTTCAGATGACACAAGCATGTATATGAAAAATCCCAAAATATTCAGTAAAAAACTATTAGAGCTAGTAAATAAGTTCAACAAGGTTGCAGGATACAAAATGAATAAACAAAAATTAATTGTCTTTCCATGCACTTAAAATAAATAATTTGAAAATGGAAATAGGAAAAAAATTCCATTTATAATAGCATAAAAAAGAATAAGATGCTTGGGAATAAATTTAATGAAAAAAGTGTAAAACTTATACTCTGAAAACTATAAAGCATTGTTGAAAGAAATTAAAGATACAAATAAATGAAAAAAAATCTCATGTTCATTGATTAGAAGACTTAATATTGTTAGGATGGCAATACTCCTCAAATCCTTGATCTATAAATCCAGTATATCTCTATCAGGATCCCAACTGGATTCTTTGTAGAAATTGACAAACTGATTCTAAAATTCATGTGGAATTTTAGGAGATGCAGAATAGCCAAAATAATGTTGAAAGAGAACAAAGTTGGAAGACTCATACTATCCAATTTCAAAACTTAATACAAAGCAAAAGTAATTAAGACAATGTGATACTGGCATAAGGACAGACATATAGATCAATGGAATAGAATTATGAGTTCATAAATAAACCCATGTGTCTGTGGTCAACATATTTTAGACAAGAGTGCCAATATCATTTTATGGGGAAAGAACTGTCTTTTCAACAAATGGTGCTGGGACAACTGGATAGTCATAAGCAAAAGAATGATGTTGGACCCTTACCTTACACTAAATTAAAAATGGATAAGTTGGACATCATCAAAACAAAAAATTTTGTGCATCAAAAATGACAGTCAAGAGATGAAAAGAAAAACCACAAAATGGGAGAAAATATTTGCAAATATTTATCTGATAAGGGAGTTATGTCTGCAATCTATAAAGAACTCTTACAACTCAATAATAAAAAGACAACCCAATTAAAATGTGCAAAGGATTTAAATAGACATTTCTTCAATAATATATACAGATGGTCATAAGCACATGAAAAGATGCTTGACATAATTAGTCATCAGGGAAACGTAAATCAAAACCACAATGAGATACTACTTCTTTTTTTTTTTTTTTTTTTTTTTTTTTTGAGATGGAGTCTTGCTCTGTCACCCAGGCTGGATACTACTTCTTCCCCACTAGAATGCACTAGATTGGCTATAATCAAAAACTCTGGACAGGCGCAGTGGCTCACGCCTATAATCGCAGCACTTTGGGAGGCCGAGGCAGGTGGATCACTGGAGGTCAGGAGTTCGAGACCAGCCTGGCCAACACGGCAAAACCTGGTCTCTACTAAAAATAGGTAAAAAACTAACTGGGCATGGTGGGGCACGCCTATAGTCCCAGCTACTGGGGAGGGCGAAGCAGGAGAATCGCTTGAACTCAGGAGGCAGAGGTTGCAGTGAGCAGAGATTGCACCACTCTGCACTCCAGCCTGGGCAACAGAGCAAGACTCCAAAAAAAAAAAGAAAAGTAAAACTCTGATAATAACAAATGTTAGCAAGGATATGGAGAAGTCAGAATGCTCACACATGGCTGCAGGCGTGTAAAATGGTATAACTACTTTGGAATACAGTCTGACAGTTCCTCAAATAGTTAGAGTTGCCATATGACCTAGTAATTCAATTCTTA